>NC_000010.11:78627943-78779458 GCF_000001405.40 Homo sapiens | reverse complement strand
GTTGCTGTCCCTCTCTGGGACTCGGTGTCCTTTTTGAGCAAGGGATAGGTGCTCTATTAGGCTTCCCAGTTTAGACAGTCCATGGTCCCAGGTGCAGGGTGAAAGCAGCTTGCTTGGGCAGGGGTGGAAGTCTCTGACCCTTTCTCAAGCCCTCCCTGGTCCAGGTGACAAGCAGCTGCCTAACACTCTGGCAATCAGGTAGCCAAGGTCAGCAGGTCAGAAGTTAATCATTTCCTCTGAACACTGGCAAATGCATCCCTACTCGCACAGTCACCAGTTGCCTTCACAGGGACAATAAAATCACACAACCAAGGCAAGACCCAGGGGGCAATTTTTTGGAACTGGTTTGACCCCAGTTAGCCAGACAACCTTGGGTACTTTCCTTCTCACCGTGGCCCCAGCTTGTTCATCTGTAAAATCAGAGTCGGTGACTCAATGGGGAAAGTGCAAGGGAGCCGCTACAGGGGGCACCATTCCTGGATGGATTTGCGGGTGGGAAATGTGGTCAGGGATGGGGCTGCCTTGCACCCGACTCCTTCCTCTCCTGGCATAATCTTTTAACCAGTGTGCTTTGGCATGAGGGGTTTGCTCTGCCCAGAGTATCCTGCCCTCCAGCTCTGACCCTGGAAATCTGATTGACCCCATCCTCTCACCCAGCTCCCATCTGTCCTCCTGGTGAGAGAAGCCTGCCATGCTCTCTTGGGCTCATCAGGTCCCTCTGTCCTCTGATCCCGGGTAACAGCGAAGGTCTACCCAGCACCCCACTCAGGTAGCCAGAGGGTGCAGAGCCGGACAGGACAGGGGTTCTCAACTTCCACCCAAACTGTGCACTTCCTTAGGGCAGGAGCCATGTCTCCCCAGCATCAATCCTTCCACAGGGCCAGCTGTGGCCAAAGCAGGAGCACAGGATGCATGCTGCAGGGGCGCCATGCAGAACGAGGTGTCCAGGCAAGATATCCAAGACAAAAGGCTTGGATATCTTACAAATCCGGGGGGTTTGTTAGCGCATGGGAAATGGACTCCAGGAGAAACGGAACATCTCATTTCTAGGAGGATGCAATTAAATACCAGACTTCTCCTCATAAAAAGACACATCCTATCCAAAGAACAATCAAAGACACCTCTTATGGAGAGCAAGGGTCTAGCCCTGGCACTGCCCTGGGCCCCCTGGGTGAGCTGCCTGCCCGTTTGGACTTCGCATGCCTCATTTTTCTCTGGTGTGGCATGAAAGGAGGTCAGCCATGTCCACCTCTCATCTTCAGCACTGCAGGTCTCAGTGTCCTCACCAGTGGCCACGATGCCTGCTAGGGGTGGAACGTGCTGGGCTTATTCTCTTGCCTGACTCTGCCTGTCCACCTTGGCATCCCCTAGCTTGCCTTGTGGACAGCCCAAGGGATCGCTGCTTTCCCACACAGCCTCTTGCACCAGTCCAGTGGCTCTGACGTCCAGAAAATGTATCATGCTCATTCCCACTGGACTCCTTGTTAGCCTAACCCTAGGGTGAGCAGCAGAGGGGGAAAAAGTTAGATTTTATAAAGCAAGAGAAGCAAGCTTATGGGGAGAGTGCCTGCTGCATGTTTGCCTTCTCTGTCCTCATCCTGGGGCTGGGACGAGGGGAGGTGGATGGAGTGCTGGCTGTCACCAGGCAGGGCCTGGCCTGGTGTTGGTCCCAAGCTCTGCCTCTTTAAGAGAACCCTGGGGCCAAGATTTATTGGCTGCTGCAGTCCTGCTGCGTGTGTGGCTTTGGTATTTACAGGCCTGGGGAAGGCTGAGGTCTTCCTTCCCAGACTACACAGCTGAAGTGAGCTGGAGTTTGGGCAGAGAATGGCTGCCATTCATGCTGGAGTTTGCAGCAGAACTTGGTGTGCAGCCCAGGGGAGCAGGCGGCCTTGTACTTATAATAGCTCAGTCCTAGGACGGAAATCCCACCCTCCGGGTTCAGACAGGGAGGGGAAGGGAGGGGCCACTTGTCCCCTCCATGTGCCTGGGCACCCATGCCAGGGTCCAGCTGGGGGGCAGGCAAGAGCTGTTGCCTGAGGGTCTACCTTGTGGATGCAGGCACTAGAGACGCAGCAGTGAGGAGGGCAGGCAGGATGTGCCTCAGGAGCTGAGACCAGGAGTGAGATGCCAAAGCAGGTCACAGATTAAATAATGCAGAGGCCACCCGTGCATACTGGGATGTCCAGGGCGGACAGGGTCCCCTTGGCCAGGGCACCTCAGCTCTGAGTCTTCTGCTTACCTGGGGAGTGGTAGGAATGGCATCTACCTCATAGGGTTTTGCAGGGCTGAAACAATGTAATTAATTAATGTAATTAAATAATGTAAATAAATCGTGTAATTAAATAATGCATGCAAAAGGCCTGACGTAGTATTCCATAATGGTTCTTATTTTTACCATAGCCATGGCTGCTAATTGTTAGGGAAGGTAAACTAACACTGCTTCTTAGCCATGGGGTGCTGTGGGCGGAGCACTGTGAAGACCTCGTTTCAAATCTCATCCTTCCTCTTTCTGATGCTGGGACGCAGCACACATCACTCAGGGTTGGAGGGTGCACTGGTGGGTGCCTCGTGATCACAGCCAAGTCAAAGAAACAGGACCTACTGTGTATTGAGCACTTGCTATAAATCAGGAGCCAAGTTAAGCATGTTATCTGCTTTATCACATTTTTAATTTATTGTTAACTTTTTATCATGGAAAATGTATGCAAAAATGGAATAGCGAGGGCCTCCCTTATACTCACTACCCAGCTTCAATAACAATTGGCATTTTTTGTTGTTGTTGTTTTTAAATCAATTCCTCCTGCTTTTCTTCTTTTTCTCTTCCTTCCCCCTCTTTTTTCCTCCTTTTCTTCTTCACTTCATCATTCTCTGCTGGAATATCTAAAGCAAACACCCAACATTGTATCACTTCACCTGTAAATACGTCAGTATGTGTTGCTACTAGTTAAAATATTTTTAAACTGAAACCACACATCTATTATCATACCTTAAAAAGTAAGCAATAATTTTTAACATCATCTAATAACCAGTCTGCACATCATCTCATTTAATCCTTCAAATAACCCACTGGAATTCAAAATATGACTGCTCCCATCTTTCAAATGAAAATTGGAGTGAATGAGATATTTAAGTAACTTGTGCACAGTCCCCCAGCTCACATGACAGCCACACAATACCTGCCTCTGAGCCTTGTTCATTTCTTTATGCCTTTGACAAATATTTATTCTGCAGCTACTCAGCCCTAGCGTTGTTGGAGGTACTTGGGATGCAGCAATAAGTCTTACTGCCTTGGAGTTTATAGGCTACACCTTTGCTCCTCAAAGTGTGGTCCAGGGACCAGCAGTTTGGGCATCCCCTGGGAGCTAGCTAGACATGCAGAAATACAGCCTTGGCCCAGCCTGTTGAATTGGAATCTGTATTTTAATAAGATCCAAGAGATTTGTTGCTATGCACACAGAAGTTTGAGAAACACTGCTTAAGGCCACATTTCTCACCCCTGGCTGCCCATTAGAATCTCCTGGGATGCTTTTAAAAATACTATGCCCAGGGCCCACCCAGAAAAATGAAGCCAGAACCACTGATGATGTTTACAAATTTTCTGTACAGATAGGATTGAGAATTGCCCACCCAGTATGATTGTTTTAAGGATAAATGAGCTGAGATGAAATCTCTAGCATACTACCTAGCACACAGTAGATGCTAAATTAATGCTATATATTTTTTCCCTTTGCTTTTTCAACCCTGTTCCTGGGACCCCCCACAGAGCTGTGTTCTTGGGTGGTGTGTTGCCTTTCTCTGATCCGGAGACATTCTTTGGCCACATGAGCTTCCAACTGGAGTGTTACTCTTTGCTGGGAAACCCCAGAACTGTAAACATGGGGCCTTTCCGTGGGAAATCAGGCTGCAAGACAGACATGAGCTTCTCCCCTTCATGACCTGGTTTGCCGAGTCGGGCTGAGAGCTGCAAACAAAAATAAATAAATAAGTGAAGGCTCAGCCGTGTGTGCAAAGAGCTTTTCTTTCACTACAGCCGGATCCCAGGCCAGACGTTATCTCATCCAGCTTTCTCCCGCCAGGTGACGCGGCATGGGGCAGGTGCCACCAGCTGAGGCTTAAGGGGCAGAGGCTATGGTTTGAGTCGCCAGGCAGGCAGGAGAGGGCTCTGACCTTGGACCTTGGGACAGAACAGCCTGGGCCTGGCCTGACCACACTCTGTGGCCTCAGGGACAGGAATGTTTTCATGCTGGTGGTGGGATTGGCAGAATCCCATGGTGGTGGGGGTGGGCCCGTGTGAAGTCTCCACTCTCCTCCCCTTCTACCGATTGTCAGGATGCTCTCCATGGGGCTGTTTACAGGACTGTAAATGAGCCACAGCCCACGGGGAAGCTGGAGAGGAGTCAGAGGTCCTGCTATGAGAACCAGCAGGGGTCAGGTCTCCTGAGTAGCAAGCACTTCAGGCAGATTCTCCATTCAGCCATTCGTTCGGTGGGAGGCACCACTCCCTATCCTTTGAAAACTGGGAGAATGAGGTCTGCAAATTAGGAGGGGCTTACCAGGGTCACACAGGCTGCTCTAGAGATACCAAGGCCTGAGTTTTCTCTAAGATATGAGAGTCAGGGCCCAAACACTGCCTGGGAAAGGTCCATGCATGCCGAGTGATATCCTTGTCCCCACACGTTGGCTACTCTCAGGATGTGGCGAAATGGAGCCAGCAGGCAAAGAAAGGGGAGGGGACTTAGGCAATACTAGGCTCTGGTCCAACCTTTGGGCTTTCTGGGACTTGGGACTTTGGGCAAGTCACTTTACCTCCCAATGTCTCCGATTTTCTTTCTTTTTTCTTTTTTTCTTTCTTTTTTTTTTTTTTTTAGATGGAGTCTCACTCTGTCGCCCAGGCTGGAGTGCAGTGACACGATCTCGGCTCACTGCAAGCTCCACCGCCCGGGTTCACACCATTCTCCTGCCTCAGCCTCCCGAGTAGCTGGGACTACAGGCGCCCGCCACCACACCTGGCTAATTTGTTTTTTTGGTATTTTTAGTAGAGACAGGTTTCACCGTGTTAGCCAGGATGGTTTCGATCTCCTGACCTTGTGATCCACCCGCCTCAGCCTCCCAAAGTGCTGGGATTACAGACGTGAGTCACCGAGCCCGGCCCGATGTTCTTATGTTTTATGTGGTGCACTGCCTCCAAGCTCACGGTGGGGCTTCGAGGAGTGTGAATAAGAAGGCAGATTGGGAAGAGCTGCCTGGATGACAGGTGCTCCCTGCAAGGGATGGTGAGTAGCCTGCACACTGCACATGCGCCATTGCCACTCCTCACCACCGCACCCACAGCAGACATCACTAACTGATCCCAGCCGTTCCTCTTACTGAGTGAGGACGTCAGACCATCTCATTCCACACTGCCCCAGGCAGCCACGTCCAGTATAGCAGTGCTTGTGTGTGTGTGTGTGTGTGTGTGTGTGTGTTTTTTTGAGACAGAGTCTAGCTCTTGTTGCCTAGGCTGGAGTGCAATGGCATGATCTCGGCTCACTGCAACCTCCGCCTCCTGGGTTCAAGCAATTCTCCTGCCCCAGCCTCCAGAGTAGCTGGGATTACAGGTGTGTGCCACCACACCCAGCTAATTGTTTTGTATTTCTAGTAGAGATGGGGTTTCACCATGTTGGCCAGGCTGGTATCAAACTCCTGACCTCAGGTGATCCACCCGCTTCGGCCTCCCAAGGTGCTGGGATTATAGGCATGAGCCACCGCACCTGGCCAGCAGAGCTTGTGTTTAAGATGAAGACTCTTCCATCCCTACATTGCCTGTTGAGAAGCTGTTGCTCTGGAGGGAGGCATCTCCAGGAAGAGCTGGAGCTTGGGTGAAAATGGAACGGGAAATCAGGAGGAGAGTGAGGGAGGAGACCCAGGCAGGGTAAAGGGATTTTAGTACGAAGTGGACCATGGGCAGTGTCTACAGCACCTAAAAGCCCCTGGCAGTGGGCAGGGTGTGCCGATAATTGATCAGAAAGAGCAGGGACCCAGAGAGGAGCCCCAGTTGGCAGAGCTACTGCCTTGCATCAGGGACTTGCCTCTGATCTTGGATCACGTGCACAAAGGTTCTGCGGGGTCTGTCATGACCATCGTCACTTCTCATGTAAGGGAGCTGAGGCTGAGGAAGGTCACAGTTAAGAGCATGCAGAGCTAGCGCTGGCAGCCACGTTTGCCAGACCCTTAAACCTGCCTCCTCCATTCTGCCTCTCGGGCCTCGGGCCTCTCTCCTGAACAGGGCTGGGGTGACCTGGTCCAGCCCCAGCATTCAGGTGCAGGAAGGCCAGATACCTGCCACATGCAGCGAGTGAGGCCATTCAGGGAGGGCATGGGCGAGAGGCTGAGGGAGAGGGAGGTGTCCTTGCTGGCACTCCTGGGATGGAAAACAGCAGCGTTCAGATGGGCACTCCAGAGCCACTTGACTTGCCAATAGGTTTGGTTTGACCAGAAAAGATCTAAAACTGGGAGGTATGTGACATTCTGCATTTCCAACTTCTCTTGAGAATCAGGTGCACTGCTGTCACTAGGCCTGCATGGTCCTGGGGACAGTGGCAGGAGCTGAGTAGGAGCTGCCTGACCGTATCCTTGCATTTCTGCTTTTCAATCCCTAGAGCGTATGAGTTTGGAATCCTGGGAGAGAGGGCAGGGCAGGGGTGGGAGTCCCCTTCTCCCTTCCCTCTCGTAATGTAACCTCAGGTAACTCCCTGCCCCTCTGGGCCTCAGTTTGCCCATCTCTGACTGAAGCATATGGCCCTAGGAAGCCATGAGTGTCAGGCTGCTGTCCACAAAGCATCCACAAGGGCATCACCCAGGAGCTTGTTGGAAGCGCCGGATCGCAGGCCCCTGAACTATGCTTGTTACATTTATAGAACCCGCAACCCTTGATTTTCTTGCATGAACGACAATGAGGGTATCTTGTACCTCACCAAGTCAGCACTGAGGCCAGAGTCCAGTATACAAGCTTACCCTGGTTGTTCTGTCAAGAAGAATGAGCAGGAGAGGCCAGGCAAGGCCACTGTCAGGGATGGAAGGGAAGCTTCCCACGTAAGCGACTGTGCAGGCCTGAAATGGCCACTTGGGGCCAGGGAAACCCGGCCAGCCTATATGGAGCTCCCAGGCTGGGGCAGAAGGCCAGGCACACAACACACAGAAACACTCAGGACCATGTCCTAGGAATGGGGAGAATGGGGGATGGAGGCTGCAGGAGGGCAGAGACAAGGGGTCAGGTTGGGCCTGGAGGCCGGATGCCCTCTCTGGATGCAAAGTATTCCTCTCCGCTGCTCTGCCGGGGCAATCCCAAGGCTCATAGGCATCATCTCCAGGCCCCATCACAGGCAGCAGGGGGCCACAATTAAATTTAAATGCTCATCCATTTTCCCCATAAGCACCAGCATTTTCCATCCCTTTTATGGATTTCTGAGGAATGATAAAATGCAGCTGTTTTGGCTCCTGAGCCAATGAAATAATAAAAGGTGGCTTGAGTCTCCTCCAGGGAAATCAGCTGCTTACTTATTTATTTTGACTCCAAAACTTCTATTCAGGTCTCATAATGTACAAATGGCTTCCAAACCTGCCCCTCTATTGCCCTGGCCCTCACCTCGACTCATTTCTTTGTGACTTCTTTGCAGACAATCAGAAGCCTTCTAGAGATGTGACCTTGGCCAGTTTTTGTGCTTCCCTTTCCTCTTCTGAAAAAACATGGGTATTTTAACCCCAATGCCACACAGGCAGGCCCCATGGCACGGGAGAATGAGATACTGTAGGTCATAGCCCAGCACCATGCCTGGCACATAGCAGGCACCCAGTAATGCCGCTTGCCTGCCTTTGGATTTCCTGGGGGTTAAAAATTCATATAAAGCAAACTGCCTGGCTGCTGTTCTTGTTGTGCCTCAGACGTTGCTGTTTTATTTGCCAGGAAAACAGGCCTGGCCTTCACAGGCACAGGATTTCTCAGGCCCATAGGTTCATTTAGGCCTCACCATAACCTTGAGACATTAAGAGATTCCACCACGGCCAGGCGCAGTGGCTCACGCCTGTAATCTGAGCACTTTGGGAGGCTGAGCTGGGTGGATCACTTGAGGTCAGGAGTTCAAGATCAGCCTGGCCAATATGGTGAAACGTCATCTCTATTAAAAATAAAAATAAAAAAATCAGCCAGGTGTGGGTGCGCATGCCTGTAATCCCAGCTACTCGGGAGGCTAAGGCAGGAGAATCACTTGAACCCAGGAAGTGGAGGTTGCAGTGAGTTGAAATTACACCACTGCACTCCCGCCTGGGTGACCAAGCAAGACTCTGTCTCAAAACAAACAAACAAACAAACAAACAAACAAACAGAGATTCCACAACAGAATGGTGATGCCCAGAGAGCCAGAGGGTCTCACTTCAGGTTACGCTGTAAGTGTGGGTTAGCTCCAGGATTTGAAACCAGGACAGGGACCCTGGGCCAGGATTTTGCCACCATACTGTTAGTCCTCTGGAGGAAGCTTCGCTTCAGAAGGCCTGGAAGTACTTGTTCACCCTTTGCTTCCCGACCCAGTTTTCTTCATCTCACCAGGAGATGCCTAAACCCACAGAAGTATTCAGGACAGCACAGAGGCAGCCTGGAGTGCATACACCATCCTCCCATATTTCCCCAACAGCCTTGCTCCTCACCCCAGCTCCCTCACATGCCCACATACACAGGAGTGATGCGATGCCTGCCCCTGCAGGTGCTTCAGACTACATGGAGAGCACGTGGGATGGCCGAGCACCAGGGGTAGGAGGCGACCTCTAACCCAGACAGTTCTTGTGGCTCTGGTACTTGTCATCATTAGCTGTTTAGGCCAAAAACCTGTTTCTGAGTTTCTATTCTGTATCTAGCACTAGAATTGCATGGGGTGGACTGAATTATGTCCCCCCAAAAGATATGCCTAAGTCCTAACACCCAGTACCTGTAAATGTGAAATACTCCCTTATTTGGAAATAGGGACTTTGCCGAGGTAATTAAGTTAAGAATCTTGAGATGAGATCATCCTAGATGGAGGGTGGGCCCTAAACCCAATGCCTGGTGTCCTTATAAGGAGAGAGAGCTTCGAGACACAGAAAGGCATGGGAAAGCCACGAGAAGATGGAGGGAGAGATTGGAGTGATGTGTCTACGGCCGAGGGACGCCAAGGATCGCCACCGTCAGAAGCGGGAGAGGGAGTAAGAATTCTCCCTGGAGCCTCTGGAGGGACTGGAGTCCTGTGCTTAGATTTTAAAATCTTGATTGTGGACTTCTGGATTCTAGAACTATGATAGAATACATTTCTGTTGTTTTAAGCTACTAAGTTTGTGATTGTTACAACGGTCCTAGAAAATTCATACACTGCATACAGAATAAAACATTTGAAGAGACTATCCAAGTGCTTGAGATGTTTACAGTGTGGCCTATTTTCTCAGCCTTCTCCTTCCCACCTGCCACCTACCTTTGACTTCAGATGTTTTCAGAGATTTTCCAGAGCTGAGTTTTGCACCATCTCTTCCAGTATACAGGGAGAGAGAAGTTGGGGGGCTGATGCCTCCAGCCCAAGGGGTGCTGGTTGCAGAGGCACAAAGCCTTCCCCTGGACTGAGATATCCAGGGGGACTTTCTGGCAGAGCCAGGTGGGTTTGGCTCCATTAAGTCAGCAAGGGGAAGCCCTGGATGAGTCTTGAGCAGGGGAGCAATGAGGCGCTCTGGGCAGTGTGCTGTAGCCGTAGGTGTAGGTGGGACTGGGAGTGGGGTGCCAGGGCAGAGCAGTACATTATGCGGAGGTGAGGAAGGCCCAGCTGGGCATGGTGGACGTGGGAAGCAGGACGAGGGGGAGACTCAGTTGGAAGATGTGGCACAAAATGCTTTGTGACCAAAGCACAAAGGGTGGAGGGGAGAGCACAGGAGAGTGGGCATGGCTCCTGCACGGAGCCCAGGAGAACCCCCATGACGCTGGAGGGTATCTTTTTTTGTGGTGGGGCTGAAGGAAAGAAGGAAAGGCTTAGCCTGCCAGGACCCTTCCCTGGCCAGAAATATTCCTAGATGACCCCACACATACCACAGGCATACATGCACACATACAGAGACTCAGGTATACGTGCACAACCACACACACACACACACACACAGAAATGCACAGACCAAGTGCCCAGGGACACACACACACACACACACACAGATAGGCACAGAGGCAAATACACACAGGAGCACACATGTGCACAGTGGCACATGCACCGACACACAGACTTACAGAGGGTCCATGCCCCCAGTCCTCTCCTCCGCCTCCCACTGCCTTTCACTCACTCTCTCCCTCCCGCTACAGTCACCTCTGGCACAAGTTCACTTGGATTCCCCACTAACAGGGAGGGTGGGACCAGTCCTAGCCAGGGGTGGTGAGGGAGAGACAAAAGCAGAAGTCCAGGCACCCAGTGGGGTTCCTACCTCTGTGTCAAAGACGATGGCAGAGCTGCACACACACGTGGGCAGGAACCCACTGACACTCAGGAACAGACACCCAGAGAGACTGAGCTCCAGACACAGCAAGAAATTGAGATTCCAGAGTCACACCATGATGCAGACAGAAAGTCAGACAGGAAAAGATACTCAGGTACAAATAGACACACACAGATCCACACTCAGACACACACACAGCATGCACACAGTACAGCACACACACCCACAGACACATAGCAACACCCCCTCCCAGACTCAAAAGACACATACATCCACACGCGCGCACACTCACACATACACACATCCCAGCACGCACACAGACAGACCCACACACACCTCCGACAGAAAGAGATACACGCAGAGGGAGACACTCTGACACCCAGACACATACATGCAAAAATACACAGACACACTGCCAGGTCGACACAGAGGCAGAGCCAGGGAGACAAAGAGGCTTTGAGCGTGGCCGGTCTGCCCCCAGAACCCAGACATCCTGGCTTTGCAGTCCCCCTAGGAACCCTCCAAAACGCCAGGAGAAATTCCTGGGATATTAGCTAAATTTCAGACACAAACATTCCCGTCTCCCTCTCCAGATGTAATGCTCATGAAAGCTCACACAGCCGCCCTCAGCTGCCCCCACCCCTGGCTCCTAGGAATGCTGCCTGTGGGCTCCAGGAAAGGGGTGGTCCTGAGAGCTGAAGGGACCACACTGGGCAGGGAGCAGGGGGCTGCTTTGGGGAGATCCCAGCAGATGGGAAGGGTCAGGCAGAGAGGGGGCTCCCTGTTGCAGGGTGGGGACACCACCCAAAGCAGGGGCTGACCAGGCCCTGGGGAGCAGTGAGGGGGCTGGAGACTGGTCAGAAACCCTGAGTTGGAACGCAGCGCCAGGCAGGAAGGCATGGTTCATTGCAAGGATTCTTGCAAGGGAATGGGCCTTGCTCACCTCCTGCCCACAGGGCCACCTGTCAGCAGCAGGAGCATTCAGGGCCTTCCCACCACAGGGCTTGTGCACCCTCTATTCCATCTCCCTGAAATGCTCTTCCCTTGACTCTGTCTCAACCTCAGACAAGCATCCCCACCCACCTAGGCCTCTTGTTATTTTCTTTTAAAACACCTTCTTCTTCTTTTTCTTTCTTTCTTTTTTTTTTTTTTTTTGAGACGGAGTCTCGCTCTGTCGCCCAGGCTGGAGTGCAGTGGCGCGATCTCGGCTCACTGCAAGCTCCGCCTCCCGGGTTCACGCCATTCTCCTGCCTCAGCCTCCTGAGTAGCTGGGACTACAGGCGCCCGCTACCACGCCCGGCTAATTTTTTGTATTTTTAGTAGAGACGGGGTTTCCCGTGTTAGCCAGGATGGTCTCGATCTCCTGACCTCGTGATCCGCCCGCCTCAGCCTCCCAAAGTGCTGGGATTACAGGCGTGAGCCACCGCGCCCGGCCTCTTCTTCTTTTTCATAGAGTATGTAGGTACTTCTTGATTTGCTTCTGAACTAGACCAGAAGTTCCATGAGGATAGAGACCTGCTTATGACAGTCAGAGCTTAGCGAGTAGCAAGCGCTCAGCAAAGCCACATGTGCCATTTAAACATTCTCCAGACTTCAGCTTCCATATCTATGAAATGGGTTGAAATTGTATCTCTTCTCTTACGAGAAGAAAATGAGATGATGAATGTGGAAAGGGCTTTGGCAAACATCTTCTCACCTTATGTGAGGGCTGTGTGGTCTTCTTAGATCCTTGATAAGGTTAGGGGCCAGCCTAGATTGAGACACAGACAGTGCACTGTAAACATGTTCCTAGAGGTCGGGCACCGTGGCTTATGCCTGTAATCCCAGCACTTTGGGAGGCCGAGGCAGGCGGATCACGTCAGGAGATCGAGACCATCCTGGCTAACACGGTGAAACTCTGTCTCTACTAAAAATACAAAAAATTAGCCAGGCGTTGTGGTGGGCACCTGTAGTCCCAGCTACTCGGGAGGCTGAGGCAGGAGAATGGCGTGAACCTGGGAGGCGGAGCCTGCAGTGAGCGGAGATTGAGCTACTGCACTCCAGCCTGGGTGACAGAGCGAGATTCCAACACAAACAAACAAACAAAACAAACAAACAAAAAACAAAAACATGTGTCTAGAAGTGCTTGGTTGCCTAAGAAGTATGTTTCTGGAAGTGCCATGAAGTGTCCTAACTGATGATTCCTGGAATTCCACTGTAGTACCACAAATCTGTGTCAACTCAAACTCATTAGAGCATCAATGATTCACCATCAAAGTCAAGAGGTGGCCAGCTAGAGCTTTTCCTGAGACACAAATGGCCCAGAAATCTGGGTGTTTACACATCTAGATCAGGTAAACAGTCATGTGTCCCAGCATCTGGGACCCCAGAGTCACAGAGGTGCACTGGCTCTGTGGGCCATCCCAGGATACGCTGAAATTCATACTCCCCATCTGCTCCATCTATTAACCCATTCCATCTCTCTCTTCACATAGCCAGGAGGGTGCTTTGGCTTCTTGCAGAGGACAGCAGCTGCCAGGCAGTTTTGCCTCTTGTGAGAAGAGTGGCCATGGGTGAGTTATTTAACAACTGTGGGCTTCAGTTTCCCCTATATCCTCTACCCCACACTTCTTCCTTGAGAAGAAAGTGGCTCAGCATATGTGCAAATTCCTGAGAGTGTTGCTGCTAGCAGCACCTCAGCAAATGGTGACTGTGAAGCTGACAATCCCCATTACCACGACGATGAAATGGGGAGCTTCCAAAATGATGATGGCATGCGGGTTTGTTGCCCTCGGCAGAGGCTGCTGGGTCTAAGATCTAGGCCTGCCTGTCTCCCTGCTCGGACAATGCCTGCTTTGCAAGAGGCAGCTCGTTATGTGGGAGATGTATGTCCTGTCGTAAAGTGTTTAATATTTTAGCTCCTAATTGCATTACCAGAGACAGACAGCTGTTTATCCTCATCACTCTCCCATCGTTGTCTTTGGCAGGACCCACTGGGCTGCTCCAGGTGTTTCCTCGCCTCCTCTTCTGAAAATCCAGGGAGGCCATGCAGGCTCCTCCAGGCTGCTTGGTGTGGTCAGGCCGTGAGTGGTTCCAGCAGGCGGGAGCCTATGTTGGCGCCGGAGTGGGTGCAAGTCAACCCACATTCCATCGCCTCCTCCTTTCTGCCCGCAGGAGCCTTCTTCTTTATTAGGCATCGCCCCAGCAATCAACTCATCTGATCTTCACAGCAGCCCTGCAAGGTAGGCACTGTTACTCTTGACCCCATGATACAGAGGAGGGAATTGATGCTGGGGGAGGCTGTGTCCTTCACTCATTCATTCGCTTATTCATTCATTCGGCAATCTTTTTTGGTAGGAGCAGCATTGTGGAAGGAGCTAGGGATGTTAAAATGAATAAGATCCAGCCCCTCACCCTCAGGGACCCCACAGCCTCGCACAGAAGGAAGTTGACAGTGGAGCCTCTGCCCCTCCAGGTAGTTCCCACTGCTGGCCAAGTGGTCGTTTTGAGACATAGATCAACCTCAAGTCCAGACCCTGTGGATGGATTGCCCTCCCCAGATTCTAAGATTTCTAGTTAAATTCTTGTCTAATCCCAGCCTCCTCCCACCTTGCTTCACCACACAAGCCACTCCAAGCCTCCTGCTTGACACTCACCCCACGTGTGACCACCCTGCTCCTTATTTTTCCTTCCAGCCGCCTGTCCTCCCTGGTGCTACAATCCTGATGTTGTTGGGCGGTGGGCAGAAGACTCTTGTATCATGGCCCCTGCCCAGCCCTAGTGTAGGTCAATCATGGTCATTCTAAACCCCTTTGCCAGGTACTCCCTTAGCCTTCCTCACAGCCAGGGGTGGCAGGTCCAATGACTGAGTCAGTGAGAACCAGGGGAGGTTCTTTGAGGCCTTAGGGGACAGAAGGGGGCAGAGAGTTTCCTTGAGTCTTGCCTTTGCCCTTCATCCTGCCTGGACCTGAGTTGCATACGGATGAGATGCTTAGAGCTGCAGCAGCCATCTTTTGACCATGTGGCAGCAAACAAAGGGCTAAAAGCTAGGACATGGAGGGAGACCAAGTGGAAATGAGGGCTGAGCCTGGGTGTCTGCTGGGGGTCATTGGGCCTCTGAAGGATCCAGGGCCTTACTGCACTGGAGTTTCTGTAAGTGGAGAGCACACGGCTTCCTGCCTCAGCACTCCCTCTGGTCTCTGCTGCATGCACCAAATCCTTCCTGATGGTACCCGAGCTGGGCCCCTGCATCTCACTCCAGTGCCCTGGTTTTGCTTTGTGAGCTGCTTCTCCTTTTTTAAGGCCTAACCCAAAGTTCCTTTCCAAGAAGTTTCCTTTGACTTCACCTCACCCCACCCTGACCACAGGGCTGGTCGCCCACTCCTTTGCATAGGCACAGCACACTGTGCACGGTCCTTTGTAGCCCCCACCACACTGATTTGTAACTCTCCATTTTCCTGGTCTGTCTGCAGACACACTGGGAGGTTCTGGCCTGTGGAGGAGCCCATCGAGGTTTGAGTGAGGGAGCCGACAAAGAAGTGAATGCAGGAACCATCACTGGCAACAGAAGCAATGGTCCTCCATGTGTCCTTACATCACTGAATCTTCCCAGGGGCCTTGTGAACCATGACTGATGCTCACCCTCATTTGCAGGTGAAGAAACTGAGGTCAGAGAGGACAGGGTTAGGTCTTTCCAGGTTGGAGGGAAGCCTTTGGGCCACACGGTAGGCAGGTTGGCTCCAGCCCTGCTGTCCTGCCTGACTCCCAGGCCCTGTGGGGCCTCTTCCTGCTGTGGGCAAGGCTGCCTGCAATCAGGCCATTTGCAGGGCAGTGGGTGGCAGAGCCAGGTGCTTGGCCTGGGGCAGCAAACAGACCTTGCTTGTCCTGTCACAGCTGCCCCAGGGAAGGGTTCAGAGGCCATTTTATCCACACAGATGGGGCTGGGGCCCATCAAAAAATAAGACCCAAGCAAGGCCTGCCGGGGGATGAAGTCATGTGGAAAAACACTCAAGTCAGAACAAAACTGTCTTTCTGAAAACGACTTCATCACGTTGCCAGAAGCGTCAGATCACTCTGCCTCTCACCTCTTCCAGCCCGCCCACAGGAGCGGGGAAGACCAGTTCCTCGGGTCTGGTTACATCATTTAGGCAAAAATAAATGTTACAGAGACCCACCCAGGAGGTGCTGGGGAGCCAGTGGCTCCATCTTCCCCCACGGCCCTGGCCTCCTCTGACCCACCAGGCTGGGAAGTCCTGGAGAGCAGGCTTGGGCTTTCTCCAGCTCTGTGTGCCCAGTGTCAAGCGCAGAAACAGAGCTCAGCTTCCTTTTGTCAGAGTCTGGCAAATGAAACTAAACTAAACTAAACTAAAATAAAATAGAATAAAAAGCACTCAGTGAATGCATACGTTCATGCATTCAGCAAATTCTGCTTCTACCAGGCACTGTGCCGGCATTGAAGTTACGCTTGCAGAAAGAAGAAACAAAAGATTGAAGGAGTGAAGGAATAAATTCCTCACTAGGGTGACAAGGCACAACAGAGCAGGATGGGCCCCACAGAGGTGTAAAGAAAGCTGAGTTCCATTGCCTACTCCAGTAATACGTTTCTACTCAACAGAATTGTCTTGAGCAGAAGATCCTGGCAACACGGTGAGCACCTAGGGATTTAGGGAAGCCACTCTAGCACTCTGGCATTGATTGTCCTGGCAGGAGACAGATGACATCAGTTACTGGAGTTCCCTGCTACAATGGAGATACGGCCAAGGTGATGTGGGGCATGCGGGAAGAGGTGCTGGGTGGGCTGGCCAAGGAGGTGGACCTTGGAGAAGAACATACCAGGCTGTCCAGGAGACGTGGGGAAGCTTTGGAGGTGGCATGGAGCTTGGAAAAGGGCAGACAATTCCCTGTATAGGAAGCACAGGCAGTTTGAAGTAAGCAGCAAGAGATGGGGTTGGTGAGGCAGGCTGGTAGCAGGTGAAGGGGAGAGTGGGCTTCGCTCTATGCTGAGTAGGGAGCTATTGGAGGGCTGACGAAATAGAGTGTCCAGCTCAGGAGTGCATTTCAGAAAAGCTGCTCCAGCCTGGAGGGCAGTTTGCCTGTAACAAAGAGGTCTCCTTAGAGGTCCTTGGACCACCCCAGGATCTAGGAGTAGAGCAGCGGCAAAGGGGATGAGAATAAGACAAAGGATAGGTAGAAATGCCCATCACTGAGGGGACTTGGAGACCTACTGGATGAGGGGACAAATGGAATCTGAGGTTGTGAGTTAAAACTGTGACTCTAAGGCAATGGCAAAGAAATTTAAAATAATGGGGGCTGAAGAAGTAAAAGCCCAGGTACCTGGTCCCAGGTTGGTCTAGTAGCTCCACAAACATCAGAGCCCCAGATTCCTCCCACCTTTTTAGTCATACCCAGCCTTGAACATGCGGCCCAGAAAGGCTGTTCCAACTCCCGTTGTCACATCTGCAATCCACTTAGTGGAATGAAAGAAAAGAGGGAGGGGGGCGCACTCATTCATCTCAAAGATATGACTTCGAATTCCACACATCTCTGCTCACATCCTATTGGTAGAGCTTAGAGGCAAGACCATACATAGCTGTAAGGGATGCTGGAAACGGTAGGCTGCCAAGTGCCCAGCTAAACATTCTTCCATTGTGGAACATGGTGGGGGATGGAGCTATGGGAGGACAACTAGGGAGGTTGTGCAAGCCCAGTGGCCACTCTGAGCTTGATATTTCTCATTTACAAAACATATTCCATGAATAGTCACACTTCCTTTTTTACCAAATAAATGTAAATATGATCCCTTCTCTGTCAACTGCACGCTGTGTTTTCCTGGCAAGTCAGATGTCCCTATTTGGAGACAGCTTTCCCAGCCATTGAAGGAGACATTGGAAAATATCCTCAACATGGACTTTACGGGGCTTACAGAGTGGAATCTCAGGGTCTGTGAATTCCATATAATTATATGCTCAATTTGGGGCATACAGTTTTCTTGAGAGAGAGTTTATGGCTTTGTGTTTACACGTTTAGCATACAGATTTATGAGGAGGCTTACCTTTACGGGGGTTACCCTCAAAAGTTGAAAACAGAATGAAAAAATTGCTCAAGGCCCTCACCACTGATAGTCTATGATTCCTTTGTACCCGCTTTACAGGATACACTTGGAAAGCAGAGCAGGGAAAATAAAAAGGCAATTGAAGGGCTGTGGGTGGTTGGATAACGTGGCTTCGCTTCTTCTGACAGTCCTCCCTGGATGTGGGTGTGGCCCGCCGTCACCAGGCCTTCCCCTGAGTCTCTGCCCTGGCTTAGCTGGGATTTGGCTGGGGGAATGCCTGGCACACTCTGCCTCATGTCTCCCCTGCAGTCCCCAAAGCTCCCCGTCGGAAGCCAGTTAGGATTTCAGAGACACAAGTGAGCTGCTGTGTTTGGCCTGCCAGGTGAAAAAAACAGAGCCTGCATTAAGCAGACGCTCCTCTCGTATCGGCTTCCCTCACCCGTGATGTCTCCAACTGGGAGCAAACCTGTCTCCCTCTCTGGAGCCAGGGATTTGATATTGTCGTGAATGGAGGTTTTCATCCCCCAGCTAGTCGTCTGCCCTCCATGGCGCCTGCTGTCAGTGCCAGGCTTGGCATGGGAGGCCCCAGCTGCGGGAAGAGTGGGGGGATAGGGAAGGGCTGGGCTCAGTGGCTCCCCCACCACCTAGACTTAGTGAAGGCAGAAGAGGCATCATGGCCCAGGAGAAGGAGCGAGAAGGTGGGCACTCCTGAGTGATCACCAGGCAAGGTGGGCTCTGATGGACTGGTGGTTTGTACTAAGTGGGGATTTCTCAGTAGCCCACAGATGAGCAGGACTCCTGAGAGCAGACTTGCTGTCTGCAGTAAAGATGGTACCAAATAAAGCTGAAAACAAGGATTTTACCAAGAGGGGAATGGGACAAGAGGACAGCAATATGGTGCCAAACAACTGAGAGCAGGGATGAGCATCTTGGAACTTGGAGTGCTGGTGAGCAAGAGGAGCCAGCCGGGAAGCAGACAGACCAGCCCCAGGCACCACCTGGGAGCCAGGTTGGCAATAAAGGAAAGCTGGAGAAGAGCAGGGATGGGCTGCAGTAGAAGCCCCGGCACGGGGTTCTGGTGGTAGCAAGTGGCACCTTCAGCCCAAGAGAGCTAGGCCAGCCAGAGAGGCCAGGGCTGGGTGGCGGGGGTGGCCCCATGGCAGGAAAGGGAGCCCTTACCTGCCATGTGCATCTTACGTCTGCAGGCCCTCCTGCCTCATCCCTCTGTTTGCCCTCTGCCCTGCATATTCACTCAGCACAGGCAGGGCACTTTGTTCTCATAGCCTTTGACTGTGACTGCAGGTGTGGGACCAAGGACAGTGGCCAAAGAAAAACAAAGAGAAAGAAGGGAACAGCTACGATTTCTAAGAACAGCACCTGCAGGCCTGCATCCTGGCTGTGAAGCACACACTTGTGCGTTTTCTGGTGGAGACCTCACAAGCCTGCATGTTAGGGCCAGCTCTTATAAATGCCACCAGGCTGAGGACAGTTTCACAGCAGCATCGCTTAGCAGGACCCCACGTGGTGCTAGTCCCTGGGCTGGGCATGCTAGAGAGAGAGACGAGCAAAACCCTTTCTCTGGCCTCAGAAAGCTCACAGTCTGGTCAGGGTGGAATCGGTATTTGCTGAGAGCTTCCTGAAGGTCAGGGTCACTGCTGCTGGGGCCTGCCATATATCACTCAAGTCCCATCCTCATAACATTCCTGGGAGGGGCCAGATCCCCCACTGGAGGAAACAGAGGCCCAGAGATGCTAGGTAACCTGCTCCAGACCACACAGCTGGGTCTTGTGAGGATACATTTTGAATTCCTGTTCTGCCTGTTTCAATGCTTGCCTGTTTCTTGGGGAAGAACCCCACTTCTTTCTTTGGGAGGGCTGCTGCAGAAGGTCACTGGGGTGGCTTGAGGCCTGAGGGCAGGCCTGGCCACAGACCCTTCAAATGATTGCTAAGGCACATGCCACTCAGGAACTCCTGGTCAGATGAGCAGAAGACAAAAGGAGCCTCCACTAGACGGCCACCCGTGCAGGCCCAGATGCCAAGCTCTGGGGAGCATTTGAAGGCAAGTGGGTCAGGCACTGCCCTGTCCCCAAGGAGCTCACAGACCAGTGAGAAACCTATGACAAGAGTGTTAAGACCCACTTCACAGGCATCGAGCCAGTCAAATCTCTGCCATGCCCATTGCAGGGTGACCTGAGGTGAGAACCAGGACTTCTCAGAACCTCAATTTCTTTATCTGTAAAATGCAGATACTAGAACCTAACTCATCACATTATTGCAAAGCAATGTGTGGGAGGCACAAGGCTCAATACAAAGAAGGAGCTTGGCAGTAATAGTAATCATGACTCTTATTACCACTCCAGCCAGAGTTCAGCAGCAGGGAAGAGCAGGTAAATGAGAGGTGTAAGGAAAGCACGAAGAACATGCTATCAGGATTCATGGGTGGGAAGGGGGCAGGGGCGGAGCATGGAAAAGCCTCAGGAGGCTCCTGTTTGTTCATCCTTCCCTTCCCCTTCCCCTTCCCCTTCCCCTTCCCCTTCCCCTTTCCCTTCTCCCCCTCCCTCCCTCCTTTCTTTCTTTTCTTTCTTTCTTTCTTTCTTTCTTTCTTTCTTTCTTTCTTTCTTTCTTTCTTTTCTTTCTTTCTTTCTGTCTCTCTCTCTCTTTCTCCCTCCCTCGCTCCCTTCCCTCCTTCCTTCCTTCCTCTCTTTCTTTCTTTTCTTTCTTTCTTTCTTTCTTTCTTTCTTTCTTTCTTTCTTTCTTTCTTTCTCCTTTTCTCTCCCTTTCTTTTCTTTCCCTCTTTCTTTTTTTCTTTTTCTCTTTCTTCCTCTCTCTCTTTCTTTCTTTCTTTCTTTCTTTCTTTCTTTCTTTCTTTCTTTCTTTCTTTCTTTCTTTCTTTCTTTCTTTCTTTTTTTTCTCTTTCACAGGGTCTTAAGGGTCTTGCTCTGTTGCCCAGGCTGGACTGCAGTGGTGAGATCATAGCTCACTGCAGCCTCAACCTCCCAGGCTCAAATGATCTTCCCACCTCAGCACCCCCAGTAGATGGGACTATAGGCATGCACCATCACACCTGGCTAATTTTTGTATTTTTGGTAGAGACAGGGTCTTGCCATGTTGCCCAGGGTGGTGTCGAACTCCTAGGCTCATGCAATTCTCTCACCTTGACCTCCCAAAGTACTGGGATTACAGGTGTGAGCCCCACACCCAGCCCCTTTACACTGTTTATTTTTCTAATGCTCTTGTTTGGGGACTTTTACACTTATTCCAGAACATGCAGTCAGCACCCAGTGACTATCTGTGGAAGGAGCGAACCAAGGAATGATGTCTCCAGCTCCAGTGCTCCAGAGTTTCAGATGTGGCTCTGTTTCATCCCCATCCTGGCTGCTCTGGTTCAGAGAACTTGGGTGGCAGACTCACTGCCAGCAGTGGGGAGCAGCCCCTGCCCCACACGGGCCCAGCCTCAAGGTCCCGGAGTAAGCACTTCTTGCTCCAAGCCATCTTCTAGAGAGATGGGAGACAGGGAAGCTAGGAGCTTCTACCACCATCTGAGTCACTGTGGATGGAGAGAGCCGCTGGAGAGACAGGAGTGCAAGGGCCTGGCGTGGCTCTGCAGCTCTGGAGACGTGGGACAGGCCACTTGCCTTTCAGGGGTGCTATGGCAGAGCCTACCCCGTTGGCCTTCTCAGCAGTTTGCCTTATGTCTAAAGCTTCCTGGGCCTGCAGCACAGGGTGCTAGTTTTGCCTATGGGGGCAGCCAACCCTCTACCAATTAGGTTAGAGTTGGTGGTGTACAACCCATTCCTCAGCGGGTCAGCCTGAGACATGTCCTCCCCAGCCTTGCAGACTGTCCCGAGGGGGAGTGAAATATAAAGATGACCTATTTACGAATCCATCCTTTACATGCTTGTCTTTGTTCACTGTCTTGATATCGGTGTTCCCACTGTGCCTCCACGGCCTCCTGCCTCCTGTGTTCTTGGCTCCTTCTCAGCCTGGCTGCCTGGCCCTCACCCTGAGCCTGGGGAGAAGTCAGGACCTTTCACTTGCCGGCTCTGGGTTATACGATGATCTTCTGTTCCCAGGATTCAGCCTTTTGCCTAACAGGAGGACCAGGAAGTGAGAAAAAAAATTAAACAGCTTTGGGCTGGCTTTGGGAGGAGTGGCAGGGAGCTCCCTCCAGCCTCCTGTGAAATGGGTGTGCTGGCTTTATATTTCGAGAGAATGCTGTCGGACGAACGGGTAAAGGGCTGACTCATCAGTTGTTAATGGCCCTAACACCCAGCATCTGCGAGCCCTCCTGGGACGTCGTCGTAGGGTGATTTGCTTTTCAGGGCTCTGACATCAGAGGCCTTGTCTCTGTCTGCTGGAGTGTGTCATGCTCTCGCTCTTCGCAGGAAAACTGCTTAATGCTATGGCAAAAGAAAAGTAATAAAATATTCATTTGCCAAGGCTAGAGGGTGGAAGCTATCGAATCCTCCAGGAGAAGGAGTCCTAAATTAAAGACACGCACAGACCCGGATGAAAGCACATGGCCACACAGCAGACATTCTTAGGCACACAGCACGTATAGGAAAAACAGCCTCCCATGTACCCAAAAGCATCTGCCTGTGCACACACAAAGCCCTGCGTGTGCAAGCACACATGTACCCATCACACACCTATGCAATACACAAGCCTGCACTAACGACACACCCACGTCACGATGTGAAGACACACGCACATTGCACAAGCCTGTGGAACCCTGCTCCATACACACACACGCACACACCTATACCTATTCCCTCACCGTTGTAATTAAAAGTGACATCTTCCTAGCTCATCTACTGGGGGCGGGAGAGCCCATCAAACCGGCCCTGACTTTTGAACAATAGCCGCCTGTCTGGCTGTCCCGAGGAAGCCTGGCTCTGTCAGGCAGAAAGCAGATGCCGTGCTGGGGGAAACAGGGGAAGTGTGACTCAGAGGTGAGTTACACAACTTGGTTCTGCCTGTCTGCTGTGCCCAGGAGGAGGATGGGGGAAGCTAGCAAATGGGAAAGCTGAGAGGCTGCTGCACTTCTGGAAGTTTCCACATCATCAGCCTGGAGGAGGCTGAGGCTCCCCGAGGGTGGCATGAGGAGGCTGCTGCGCTGTCATGAGCAGGAACACATGTGCTTGATCACATGGGGCGCCTTCCCTCAGAGGGAGGGGTGCTGTGGCTGTCACCTTCTCGCTAAGGTTATAGCCTTCCGCTGACCTGCTCCTGCCCATCTGGCCTGCTGCCACAGGGCACCACCACGCCTATGTAGACAACAGGTTGGCCCCAGGCTTGGGTTGTGGACACACAAGTTGGCCTGCATCTATAAAGATGCTGCCTACTGATGGTTCTAGAAGCCCTGACGGAGTAGCTTATAACTAGAGGATTGGTGCCCAGACCTGAGATTTTGGAAACGATCCCAGCTCACAGATTTCCTGAGAATGACAATGTCCTGGCTCCCTGGGATGTTTTTTTGTTTTCTGTTTTTTGTTTTGTTTGTTTGTTTGTTGTTGTTTTTTCATACCATCTATTCTACAAACATTGACCAAACATTGACTAAGGGCTAGGGCCTTGGGTAACATAGCTGGTTGCTGGAAGGATCTCACAGTCTGTGAGGGAGGCAGGCAAGGGCCAAAAGTGACTGCAATTTGCTCGTGGAGCAGCTGACTCTAACTGGTTTTGGAAGGTTGAGTTGGCTGGGTAAAGAAAGAGGTATGGATGTGAGTGGGTGGGAGATGGGAGGATAGGAGGGTGTCAAAGAGGGAGAGTTAAATTCTGAGGAGAGGAGTAGCATTCTCACAAAACTGCTTTCCTACACAGATCACTGTAGACCCGGGCTGGCAAAGTACAGCTCACAGGTCAAATCTGGTTCACTTTCTGTTTTTGTAAATAAAGTTTTATTGGAACCCAGCCATGCCCATTCATTTCTTATCTCCAGAAAACTTGAGTAGTCACAGCATGGCCCTCAAATCCCAAAATATTTATGATCTGAGTCTTTACAGAAAAAGTCTGTCTGTGTTCTAGACCCATCCATGAATTCTGGAACCCAACGCAGAATTCCAGAACCAATCACAAAATTTCTACAGCCTACTGTAGTAGTCCAGAATCCAGCATGGTTTTCTAGAGCTCCCTGGAAGAGTGACATTTGTATAGGGATTTAGAAGTTTACAGTGAGCTTTTGCATCAATTATCCCATTTAATCCTCCAACAAGCCTGTGTGAGGTTAATGGTAATTTTATCCCAATTTTGCAGATGAAAAAACTAAGACAAAGGGAAATTAAGGGACTTGCTGAAGACCGCATGGCTGGGAGACGGCTGAGGTCAGGCAGCCTGATTCTAACATTCCATGCTTTTTCCGCTGTATTATCCTACAGATGTTTCTCCGTCACACACTGCACTACTTAGCTGCCCTCCCTGACAGTCATTTCCCCCTTCTTTCTAACTCCCACTGCCACCGAGGAAGTCTTTGGAAGTCTTTTGTCCACTGTGGTGTGTTAGTGGGGAGACAGGGTTTGGAGAAGCATCAAATTTCCTTTCCGCATCTGTTTGCTGGTGCCCAGTGTACCCTGGGATGCTAACTAACAGTGACAGCTGATCTTCAATCGGCTGGCATGTGAGAAGAACCACTGGGTCAGGTAATTCCAGTTCACCTCTTCAGAACTGCATCCAGGAGGCAGCCCCGGGTGGCAGGGATGGTCCTGCCGGAGCTGCTGGGCACTCCTGTGGGGGATGTGATGGAATCTGCCACGTCCCTCACCTACCCACCCCAAGCAGGGGCAGGCACCCTGAACGACCCCTTCTGAACACAGGGCTTGCAGCCTCCTTGCTCATTGGTGTACACAGGAGCTGCTCTTAATGGAATTACACCTCATTTATTAGATACGAGGACCTAAGATGTGGCTGTGTTATATTAGGCGAATTCTGAAGGCTCCCACCCCTGGACACACACACACACACACACACACACACACTCATTTCCTGCAGCTCTGAGGGCTGCTGGCTGGAGCTCTGCATGCTGTGGGTAGCACATTTAACTCGATAACATATAATATACGATGGGATCATATTTAACAAGGAAAACAGGGCCCGAATGGACAGAGGAGCAGTGTGGCTGGGTTGCCATGGAAACCCCTTGTTCGGAATTTCCTGACTCCTAGGAGATTACATTTTCAACCTTAATGCTGTATTAACATAAGCTTTGGCACTTAATGTCTCTGTTTTTCACCTCCCCTCTCTCCCTTGCTTACAGGCAAAAGCAAGCAGCAGAGATGAGCCAGGGAGGAGGAGAGAGGCTGCATTTCATGATCTGGTCAAAACCAGCCATGGCACCCAGACAAGGTGCTCTGCAGCTTTCAAAGTGCATCACATCCATTATCTTCTGTGACCCACAGACAGGTCAGCAAAGCTGGCTGGTGTGAGGTCACCAAGCCCCGTGCAGGTTGCTCCTCACATACCTCTTGCATCCACTCCTTCTTCTCCGTCGCATGCCACTGCCCTTGTCATCTCTCACGGGGCTGTTGCAATAGCTTCCTGCTTGTTTCCCTGCTCCCAGCCTGCGCCCTCTGTCCCCTCTTGCTGCCTGAGTGATCTTTCTGCACTGCAAATTTGTTCACCCTACACAGTAGGCTTAACAGCCTCCAACGGCCCCCAGCAGGTACAGAATAAAGTCCCAACTCCTTTGCATTCAAGTGTTTCTGCTTCTCTCTACAAGCTTGTCTCTAGCAGTCTCCACCACAGTCCCTACCCTCCAACCCCGTAGAGGTGATGATGTCCTTTCGGAATACACAGAGCACTTCCAAGGGCCATACTGCACTTCCAAGGGCAAGCTCCTGCCATGAGCTTAGCTTGGGACCGTAGTCTCTGCTGTCTTCCTGAACGACTCTTAAGCTTCCTTTAAGACCCAGCTTGGCATCACCTCTTTTAGGGGTGTTTCCCTGCCTACCTCACCACCAGTGTTCCCAGGGTGCTGTACCGAATGCTGTTGCAGCCCTTAGTGCCTGATGACCCCTTGGTCCTTCATGAGCCTTTCTCCTCCATCATATGGGGAGCTCGTCAAGCCCCGGTGGGGACATGCCTTCCCCACTGCCATGTTTCCACCACCCAGCCTGGTTCTGGAACCTAACAGGTGTCCAACTGGCATTTGTGAAATCGAGTAAGTGGTGAGGACACTGAGGCTCAGAGCGGTAAGTATGAGTCCAATGCTACTGCCTGGTAAGAAGCTCAGGTAGGGTTTCTCTGCTGTCACTCACCCTCCCAGCATCCCTGCTTGCTCTGGGATCTCTGTGCCATCCACAACTCACAAATTGTGTCTGTTTCCAGCACTACACAGGTCTTCTCTCTAACAAACCCTTCCTTCCCTACATTATCTCCACCAGTTGCCTAATAATCTTGGACCAGCTGGGGCTGGTAGAAAGTTGAGATCTGAAGAATGAGGCTCAGAGACCACCTGAGACACTTCAGCCCATAGAAAAGCCCACACTCCTCCCATGAGACTTATTCTTTTAAACAACAAGGTTCTCAAGGTTTCAAGGAATAGCCACTTGTCCAAGCAAGCCCATGCTTTGGAGTCTTGTAGCAAGGACTGAGGGAGCCATAGTGAGGACTGGAACCTTCACCCTCACAACCAGTGTACTGGGTTGAACAGTGCCCCTTACCCTCAATCATGTCTACCTGGAACCACAGAATGGGGCATTTGAAATTAGGGTCTTTGCAGAGATAATGTAAGAATCTTGAGATGAGCTCATTCTGAATTTAGACCTTGGTGGGCCTAAAAACAATGGCAGGTGTCTTTTCAAGAGACAGAAAAGGAAAAGGCACAGAGACACAAGGGAGAAGTCCTGTGATGATAGAAGTGAAGGCAGAGGCAGAGGCTGGAGAATGTGCCTGCCAGCCAAGGAGTGCTGAGCATGGCTGGAGCCACCAGGAGCCAGGAAAGAGATGTGGATAGATTCTCCCTAAGGGCCTCCAGAGGGAGCCCACTTGGCTGACACCCTGATTTCAGGCTTCTCGCCCCCATCAGTTTAGGGTCATTTGTTTCCTTGACAACCCTAGGAAGCAGATACAGCCAGGCAGTGTAAGAATCTGGGGGAGGTGTCTGCAGGACTGGGGGGAGGTTAGCATACCAGGATGTGATGTCACTCCCTCTTGTCACATGTGGCACTCTGCTTCCCAGACTGGCACCTCGGTCACTGCACTGACCTCGAGCTCCCTCCAGCCCACCGCTCCATCTTCTCTGCATGTCTCAGTCTCAGGTCCACACGCAGCCTCCATTTGCTTGTGACTCTGCAGGTTGAGCTCCCCTGCACCCTTCTGTTGGTGATCTTTTCACTTATATTACATATGCCAAGCCAAGCAGCTGAGTTCCCACTGCATTTAAACTACCCAAGAGAGATGATCTGAAGATTTAGTTATCATTATCCCAAATGGGCAAAGCTTTCACTCCAGGCTACCTTCCAGGCAGCAGCCCCTGGCCCGGCTCCTCCTGGTCATGGTCCACCCTCATGGGTCAGCTCAGTCCAGGGAGGTACAGGTCATGTGTTCCAGTGTGGGAAGGAGGCCCTGAGAGATGGAGCTGATGACCAGGGACACCTCCTGCCCGGATGAGGGCATCTTCACTGTTGAGGCTGAACTTCCTGCAGCATTGAGTAATACGTGGTAGGAAGGGGAGAAGGAAAAAGAATGACACATTTTTTTAAACAAGAAGAAAAATGTTATATTCCAAAAAAACTCCAGAGGGAATTATTTCACCAATTGAAGCTTTTGAAAAGTCACAATTGCAGCCCACTTGTCTCTTTTGCCAGAGGACGGCTGCCTTTGATGAGCTGCTGGGAAATGCTTATTGCTCTGGGTCAGCGTGACAATATTGAGGATGCGAGAGGAGGGCAGGGAGAGGCTGGGCAGGAGAAACCGGACCACAGGGCTCTGTTTGAGATGAGGCCAGCCTGCACACTGCAGGTGTTTGAAGAATGTCTGGGGCAATGGCTCTGGGTGCACTGGGCTGTGCATGCTGCTGCCCACTCCCCAAAAGCTCCCTCGGCACTGCACCATGCTGGAGACGCTGCACAGATGTCCTCTCCTTCAGCCTTCCCTCAGGCTGCAGGGGGCGAGTGTCCGTGCGGTCATGGGATAAGTGATGGAGCCAGGACTTGAACTCAGGTCAGAGGACACTAGGACGCAAGAGTGGAAGGAGTTGTGGGCTTAAGGAGTGGATCCCAGAGTGTGGAGAAGACAGCTATAAAGGGCACTGTGGGGGACAACTGGGGACATTTGAATATGGAGTCCCGATCGGATAATACTAGTATCGCATCAATGTTAAAATTTCTAATTTTGATAACAATACTTTGGAGGGTAGGAGAGTGGCTTGTTCTTAAGAAATACACACTAGGTAGGGCATGGTGGCTCGTGCCTGTAATCCCAGCAGTTTGGGAGGCCAAAGCAGGTGGATCACCTGAGGGCAGGAGTTTGAGACCAGCCTGGCCAACATGGCAAAACCCCGTCTCTACTAAAAATAAAAAAATCAGCCAGGCATGGTGGTGCACGCCTGTAAATCCCAGCTACTTGGGAGGTTGAGGCAAGAGAATTGCTTGAACCCAGGGGAGAAGGTTGCAGTGAGCCAAGATCGTGCCATTTCACTCCAGCCTGGGTGAAAGAGCAAAACTCTGTCAAAAAAAAGAAAGAGAGATAGAAAGATGGAAGAAAGAAAGAAGAAAGAAAGAAAAAAAGAAAGAAAGAAAAAGAAAGAAAGAAAGAGAAAGAAAAGAAAGAAAGACACACTACAGCATTTAAGATGAATGGCAAACAACAACTCCAATTTAATTCTCAAATAGTTCAGAGAAGCAAAATAGAAAGAGAACAATACAGCACATGAGATAACATGTGAGTGGTGGGTGGATCAAGGTGGGGGGCATGTGGGGGTCCTGAACTATTCTTGCCTCTCTGTACATGTGAAACCATACCAAAATTAAAATTATGAAAAAGAAAACTCTGAAGTCCTAGCTCTTTTAACTTTTTAAAAAGCAGCTTTGTTGAGGCACAGTTGCCATACAACAGTCTGCAAGTATTTAAAGTGTATACTTTTGTAAGTTTGACACATGTATATACCCACGAGGCCATTACCACTGTCAAAAGAATGAACACAACTGTCATGCCTGAGTCTCCTGCTCCTTCATAACTCCTTCCTATGGCTCCTTCCTAACCACCTCCATCCCCCAGACAACTGCTTTCTGTTACTACAGATTAGTTTGCATTACCTAAAATTTTATACAGTTTGGTGCAAAAGTAATTGCGGTTTTTGCCATTAAAAGTAATGGCAAAAACCGCAATTACTTTTGCACCAACCATTATATAAATGACAACAAAGCTGCCATGAAAAGTAATGGCAGAAACCGCAATTATTTTTGCACCAACCTAATAGAAATGACATCATACAGTAAGCACTCTTGTTTGCTTGGCTTCTTTCACCCAGGATCATTCTTCTGAGATCCATTCATGCTGTAGTATGTATTGATAGCGCATTCCTTTTTATCGCTGAGTGATATTCCATTGAATGGATATAGAAGAGTTAATTTATCCATTCCTCTGTTGATGGATACTAAAGCTGTTTCCATTCTTTGGCAATTATGAATAAAGCTGCTACAATTATTCAGGTCTTTTATGGACATAGGCTTTTATTTCTCTTCCCGGATATGGAACAGTTGGATTATACAGGAGGTATGTGTTAACTCATTAAGATACTTCTCAACTGTCTTCCAAGGTGGTCACACCACAAGCAGTGCATGAGGGTTCCAGTTTCTTCACATCTTCACCACAAGACTTGGCATTGCTGCCTTTTTGCTTACAGTCACTGTAGTGGCTGCACAGTGGGTGTCATTGTGGTTTTCACTTGCATTTTTCTAATGAAGAACACTATTGATGTGAACATCAAGCCATCCCCTCTCTATACTTCCCTGGGCATTGCACCTCTCTGGGCCAAGAGGCACATGTGGTGAACCTAAGCAGCTCAGCAATTATGGTTCTGTAGCTGCACAAAGGAGAAAGCCCATATCCCCAACAGAGAATATGAAAGTGGATGGGTCCATATGGAAGACCATAGCCCCAGTGTGAGAGCCCAGGACACTGGCAGACCAAGGTCCAAGAGCTCAGGTTGGCAGAGACCATCCTTTGGATAGGGTACCCACCAGCTTATTGGTGAAACCTATGGCTTTCCCAGAGACAATTAGTGCACGAAAGGCATTAGGTCTTTCATTGGTTTACTCAATGATATTTTTTGGCTGTGTCCCCACCCAAATCTCATCTTGAATTGTAGCTCCCATAATTCCCATTTGTTGTGGGAGGGACCCAGTGGGAGGTAATTGAATCATGGGGGCGGGCCTTTCCCATGCTGTTCTCATGATAGGGAATAAGTCTTATGAGATCTGATGCTTTTATAAGGTGGAGCTCCCCTACACAAGCTCTCTTGCCTGTCACCATGTAAGACTTGACTTTGCTCCTCCTTTGTCTTCCACCATGATCATGAGACCTCCCCAGCATTGTGAAACTATGAGTCAATTAAACCTTTCCTTTATAAGTTACCCAGTCTCTCAGGTATGTCTTTATTAGCAGGATGAGAACAGACTAATACACTCAACACCACCAACTACCTCCCAAGGACCCAGTTCTGTGACAGACATAAGTAGTTAATGGGCTTTGGTTGGTCTCTAAATTGTAGGCAACCTTCAGAGTACAGTCAAAACTCCTAAGCATGAGGTTCAAGACCTTTCCTGAAGGGGTTCCTAAGACTTTAGATTTTCCCACCACAACCTTCCCACTAGCCCGTGCTCCAGCCCTAAAAAATGACTCATTGGCCCCAACTCACCATCTCTTTCCCGCCTCTTTGTCTTGATCTTCTCCTATGCTTCTTCTCTGGGCCACTAGAGATCTTCTCAGCCAGCCAAAGCACCAATCTTTCCTTCTCTCTTGAAGTCTTCCACCTCCCCACAGGAATAATTCATTGGAGCAAATGCAGTCTGAACTTGTACCCCATATGTGGTTTACAAGGGCCCTGCTGGACTCCGAGTTCCTCGAGGGCGGGATAATTATTACTCATGCCTGGTTTGGAGCATAGAAGGCTCCTCATCAACTGGTCACCCTTGATGGCTTGGGCTGATTTCATCACTATACCCTCCGTTTCTCCATCTGGGGACTGGAAGGCTCACCCCCTCCACCACATGTGGCTCACAAATCACTCCAAATTCTAGAGGTGGCACCTGCTACATTCGAGAAAGTTAAATACGTTGCCACCTTGCCCATCATTACCTGCAAGAGCCATTATCCTTGTGGGAACACATGGCTCAGGAGTTTAAACACTAGAACCAATTAGTTTCTCAGGGTGCGCCATCTTATACATGCCAAACTCAACAAGCTAAGAGCTGGTCCTCGAAGCCTTCTTTTCTTCCTTTTTTTTTTTTCTTGCTTTCTGTTCCGGCAGCACTTACCCATCTGTACTTCCACTGCAGAGCTATTCCCACTGGAAATGCTGTGAAACCTTTCAAATAAAATATTTAACATGTGGATCGGGTGATTTTATGTTGTAAGTTATGAAATCTTTATTTGGGTCCCACCGTTTATTAAACTTCAGGGTTCTTCTTTGGTCTCTAATGACATTACGTTGCATTAGAATTAGACTTTTTTTTTTAACAGGGGGCTGCATTATTTGTTGTGACTTGGTAATGCTAATGTTTAAATTTTGAGGCCTTTTACTGCTGATTAAACCTCTAAAGACTACAGCAGAATTTCCGCTTCACTGCTAGAAGAAAAGAACACGGCGCGGTTCGTGTTGAGGAGATCACTTGAAGAATGTGCGGGAAGGTTGCTGCATTTATGAATAAAGCGAGGCATTATCATTTTTAATAGGAATTAAACAGCTAGAGGGAGAAGTTGGCAATGCTGCGATCAGTGCAAAGGAAAACAATCTAACAATTTTAATTAACTGTATTTTAATAGCTTTAGTTATAATTGAATAATTTAAATACCAAGGGAAACAGTTAAATCTCCTAAAAGCCTTTTTTTATTTACATTTTAAATACAGTTCACGGTGAAGAGATGACAGTATGTGTGCTGGGGGGAGTTTCTGGGGTGACTCCAGGAGCTAGGCAGGCCTGGAAGGGGCAGGTTGGACGCAGAGGGATCATGGTGTTGGGGCTTGCTCGCCTCACCTCTGGGGCTGAGTTGACCTCCTGTGAGGACCAGGGGGCAGAGTGAACAGCCAGGAGTTTTCTGCCTGCCCGGGGCCTGGCACATCTGCTATCGCAGCCCCTCAAGTGAGTGGGAGCTGGAGTGAGTCTTGATACTCACTCAGTGTTCAAGCGATATTTATTGCTAGCCTACAGTAACTACCATCACAGCAGCAATAAACTGGTAGAAATAACAGCTGACACTTACTGAGGGCTTCTGGAATGTTTAGGGCTGGAGATAATGGTAAGAGAGAGAGAGAGGTGGTTTCTGCCCTCCTAGAGTCTTTCAACTGGAGGGAGAGACAGACAATAAACAAATAAACTACCAAAGAAGCCCTGTAAGAATAAATTATGATAAGAGGCCTAAAAGAAACATAATAGGATGCTGAAGTAGAGGATAACAGGATGGTGGGCATAAGTTTAGGTAAGGTGGGCAGGACTGGTCCTTCCCTGGAGAAAATACTGAAGTCCAGGCTTTGAGAAGGGCAAGATGGGAGCTGGTATTGGAGTCTGAGGCAGGTAGAGGTTTCCTGCCAGGTAGAGTGGCATGAGCAAAGGCCCTGGGGTGGGGAAAGGCTGGGGAACATTTTCAAAGACTCAAAAGCAAGGAGGGTGAGGTCGGGTGAAAAACTTGCCAGGGCAGCCTGGGCTGGGGGCAGCCACTGGAAGATGGGAAGCAGGGAAATGATGCCACCTGATGAGTGATTCTGAAAGAACTTACTGCGGGTTTTCTAAGCCTTCTACTGGGGGTGTGACTTCTTTCCTTCTTCACCCTGTGGGTCTGCCCAGGCACCACTACTGGGCCCTTCTTTGGATCTGGTTGGAACAATAGCCCCCAACCACTACCTCACTCCTGCTCTGAGCCTGCAGCCCCTCCTGCCAGAAATCCTCATGCCCTACACATACCCCCTATCCGGGACCTGGCCTTTGTTCTTTATCACTAGGTCTTGACTGCTGGACTCAGTGTGGAATTCAACAGACTCCTCCTAGTGTCTACCCACCCCCAACCATGGAGCTGTGATCCCCCTAACTCCACACAGCTCCATTAACTAAAGACTCTTGATACTGCGTGTCTACCTTGCAGTTGCGTGCAAGATACCTTGTGGCCTGGGCCAAGGAAGCCCATGGGTCACAGCATATTGGCCAACAGCGAACCTCTGGGGGACCAGACCACTGTTCACTCCATGTCCCTTCCTTGCCGTCTCCCCAGCCTGCTAAGAAAGCCCCCTGGAGCCTGGCAGCCACGCCCTTCAGTGCTAATGACCAATCCTGGGAGGGGAAAGCATCCACCAGGCACACAGAGAGGACACGTGGAGATGAAGGTTTGCTCTGCGGGAGCGGCTGGGGTCACAGAAGCCGCTGCTAATGGGCAGTGTTTGGGATTGCCATCCCCCTCCATTAGGAACTGCCAATCCCGCAGCTCCACGCTGCCCTGTGAAGCTAGTGTCCTCTCCTGCTGGGGGAAAGCTGGGCTGTTTCACTAATGGGGACCCCAGCCAGCTAGAAGAACAGCAGGGGGCTGCTGCAGGCTGAGCAATTCATTTCTTCCTCTTGGGAGCCTCACAGGCTCTCTAAAGGGTTTGATACAGGAGGGACGAGCTCAGACTCCAAGTTAAAGCAGGCAGGCTGCATTGTTAGGTCTGGGCCAGGGAGTTTATTTGCAAGATGACTTGGAGAATATTCATCCCAGAGGGGATCGAGGCGGGTGCGAGGTGATGGAAAGTTCTGTGGACACAGAGTCAGGCAGAACTGACATAACGGTGAGAATGAAAACACACCTGTACTGGGGGCTGACTGTGTGCCCAGCACACCACTGTATGCTTGGTCTAATTCAACCCTCAAACCACCGCTGGAGGTGAGTACTATTATCTCTGCTTCACAAAGAGGAAACTAACAACGGAAGGTGCATCAATTTGCCAAAGGCACACGCTGGTATGTGATGGATAGAGGGCCTGCCCCACTCTGCCCTGGTTTTAAACCACCACACTGTGGACATGCTCCAAGCCCAGACCTGGTCTGACACTGGCTGGCCGATGTCCCTCAGCTGCATTCCCCAGGCCATGCACTTACTCCTTTGCCCCACAAACATTTACCCAGTGCCTCTGCTGTGCCTCTCACTAATCTTGTTTTACAGATAAAGGACCTGATATTCCGGGACACAAGCTCCCATATGAAGGCGGACAATCATTTACTACCAGGAAATGTGAGCCAGAGGTCCCACACAGCCCAGTTGCTTCTCTGTGAAGAGTGCAGTACCCACCTAATTCCTACCAGGGCTTCTGGGCTATATCTAGAATCTGAGGCAGGAGAGTCAGGGCAGGGCTGGAGGTCCACTTGGGAGGAGGGCAAAGGAGAAAATGCATTGAGAGACAGAGTCCACAGCCCAGAGAGTCAGGACCTGGTTGAGGGACAGACTCAAATGTGCCTTCCTGCATATAGAAGCCTCAAGCTCAGAGGACACCCTTCTGCAGGGGCAGCCAGGGGCCTGCTCTCAGCTCCCAGAGAGGTCCCTGGAGGGCCAGAGTTGAGCATGGAGGGTGACCAGTTTCTGCTCCAACCCCCTTGCAAGTGTCGTTCCTTAGAGCAGTCTCTGACACTGAGGGAGACTGGAAGAAGGGAAAGAAGAGCTGGCCCGGACAGGGGGACCAGGAGAAAAGGAAGGCCCAGAACAGTGGGTGGCGACGCCACAGGGAGCAGTGTGGGACAGCCACCAGGTGGGCTAGGCACCCAGGTCTCCCCTGCAGGACTGGAGGACGCTCTCCCCCAGCTGCTGGGAGTTGTGAGTGGAGAGTCCTCCACGTCAGCTGTCAGCCCTCTTCAGGAATGGACTAAAGAAAGCTACACTGCCAAGGTCACACCCCTCCCTGGGAAAGCCCACATCCAGTGACTGGCCAACTGGGAGGTAGAAAGGCCCAACCCCTTTGCCTGAACTCAGGGCCACTCTGAAGGGCCATCCTGCTTCAGCGCTCCCCACAGGGTCAGCTGCGGTCTCGCTGTGACTACATTGTAGCTGGATTTCTCCTTCAGCTTCTCCCTGCTTTCTTCCCTTTCCCATGGGTGTGGGTCCCGGGAACACCCCTCATTAATGTTCTACACACTGATCTCCGGCTCAGAGTCAACTTGCCAGGGAATCCACCCTGCAACAGTGGCTGACCTCAAACTCATGCTCATTCAATAAATCTGCCTCTAGTTTCCTTTTGGGCCAGATATGTGCAGGGTGCTGGGAACAGACATCCGGATGAGCTGTGTTTCTTGTGCTTTCCTCTGGTTGGGGAGCCTGATGCCGAAAGGTGGTGGGTACTGGCACAGGGATTTGCTCCTGGAGGGCCTGACCAGGGTGTGCCTGCTCTCCCTGAGTGCAATCCCAGTGTCTTAGAAATGGAAAATGGGGAGTGGCCAGCCCTTTTTCTGAGGCTCAACTCCCCAAGTAGTCAGCCCATCTGGCCTTGGGACCTTCAGTGCCACAGAGCTCACGTGGTCCCAAGTAACTCTGCATACGCAAAGTCCATTCTGGTCTTCCTGGAGCTGTCCCACACTGGCATCATTCTCAGAATGGACTCGCAGGAAAAGTCCATTCTGGAGTCAGGGAATTCCTGGCAGGGTGCGGAGGCTCACTCACTGAGAGAAGCCCAGAGCGCATTCAGTAAGGTAAGGAGGCAGCTCCCTGCTACACAAATCTGCAGAGAATGGAGGGTTCCTTTCGGTGGATGTGTTTCCCACTTGAACCTGTTTCCTCTCCAGCCTTGCAAAGTGTTTCTACATCTGGAACACATGCTCTGAGGATGAAGGATACATTTGGAAAATGCTGCAGGACTTCTCAGTGCCTGCATCATTGAAGTGTACGCTGGGAACCTGTGAGACCCGGGCAGAGTATGCAACATCTCCCAAAATTGCTGCACCATGGAACACTTTTTTTTTTTTTTTTTGCAGGACATCTCTCAGGGCCAACGTTTTGGAAATTATATTTTGAAACAAAAATGCTGTTTTCAAAAATTCTCAGAGCTTTCCCTGTTCTTGCTCAAAAAAGAAAGGAATTCTATCCTGGTGGAGGTGTGCAGCGGATATTAAGAGGATACTGGGGAGTGCAGGAGGTGGGGGAAGGAGGGGGAGCTAGGGTGTCCCTTCCTCTCACCTTCCTTAGAGCCGTGACCTTGCAGGGTGCCAGGGGAAGGCGGTACGGGACTGTTTGGTGGGGTGCAGTGAGAAGCCTGGGGAGGCATGGGTGGCATCTGTGTGTCCCTGCCTCTGACAAATGCCATGCCGCAGGCTGACAAAACAAATGTGAGTGTGCACCAGGCTGTCCTTAGTCTCTGCCAGTTCAGATGCTCAGACACCAGGCACTGGCTTCCATCCTCCCTGACATCTGAATTACGGCAAGGCAGGAGGCAGGGCCTGGCCGCTCTGGAGTAGGGGAAATGGCAAACAGATGTCAGAGGCCAAGGGGCAGGATGTGCTGGAAGGTTTGTGGCATCTCAGGCCTGCTTGCAAAACAGCCCTTCCCCCTGGGGAACAAAGAGGGGTGCTGAGGCCACAACAAAGAGACGCTGGTGGCAGAGGGGTTAAGAGCATGGGCTTTGAAGTTCCACAGGCCTGGGCATGAATCCGGGCTCTACCACTTGCTAGCTGTGTGACCTTGGACAAGTTATTTAACCTCATGTGTCAAGGAGGGAACATAATAGTTCTTCGCTCAGAGTGTGGCTTTGGGTGGATTAAATAAGATGATGCATGAAAAGGACTTAGCACACTGCCTGGCGCATAACACTCAACAAATGTTCCTTGTTTATTTTGCTGCTGCTGCTTGGGAAACAATTCCTGAAAGACTAAATGTTTATTTGTTCAGCAAATACAGACTGTGCCCTGCTCTGTGCCAGGTGCAAGGGCACAAACACAGACAGGCCCTGACCCTGGCCTTACGGAGCTGATAGTCAAGGAGTGGTTGTGCCAGGAAGCCACCTTGGCTGCAGAGTGACATCTAGACCCAGAACGCTCTGGGCCTTTCCTAAGATGAGAAGGCTGTGAAAGCAGGGATGGCAAGGAGGAGCACTGAACAACGTCAGGACCTAGCGCCGTCGTCAGCTAGAGACACTGTGTGTCTTCCTGCAAGTCCCCTCTGCCCAACAGACTCTTGCTCAGCCTTCAAGGCCCAGCCCAAATGCCCCTTTCTCTGGGGAGCTTATCCCACATGGCCAGGGCCCTCTTAGCTCTTGGTGCAGGTCTTGGTGGTGGCATTTGCCTAATTCTGGTGGTGTAAATGTCAGTTCTCTCCTTGACTGTGTCTCATTTTGGACTAGAAGGTTCGTGAGGGCAGTAAATGTTTGGGGAGTAGTATAGGGTGCTGTTTAAGGATGAAGGTTCTGGAGTCAGTCACATGTAGGTTGGAATTCCTGGATACAGCAGATTTTGTGAGCTTTGGTGAACTCATCATCAACTCTAAGCTTCAGTCTCTTTATCTATAAAGCTGAGAGAAATATACAGACTCCTGGAACTGTTATGAGGTGTAAAATTGACGCTAGCCAGAAAGGGCTCAGCACAGTGCTTGGCACACAGGGAGCCATGTACCAGCATGGTCTTATTTCCACCTTTGTGTCTATCTAGTCTTACCCCACTACCTAACCATGGTAGGTGCTCTATAATTAGTTATCAGTTGAATCAAGTAAGTTCCCCATTCTAGGATTCAGTCTCCAAATCTGTAAAAAGGAAGGAAATGGCCTCTCCAAGGCAACTTCAGATACATTCTCTGCACCCAAAGGAACTCTCGGACTGTCCAAACCCACCTTTTCAGTTTATAGAGAGGGAAACCGAGGCCTGTGCAATTGTGCAAGAGCAGCGCATGTGAGTGAATGCATCCATAGCCTTCCTGGAGAGGTGGAATGTTATTTTGGTTAGTTCTGCGGTATACAGATTCTCAATAGCCAGTTTCTTTCCCATCTGAACTGTTTTTGTAAAGAGGAAATATCAAGGTGTATGATGTCAATGCAGTTAAGTAATCCAGCCAGCTGTGTAAACATCTGGAAGTAGTAGAGACACAGCCCCAAAGCGAATGCAGGGATCAGCGCTTCCAGACGTCTCTGGGAGGCTTCCAAACTGTAACCTATGAGGAACCAGCTAGGAGAGGCAGTGCTCTGATCAGAAACTGGAGTGGTATTCTCTCCTCTCCAGGTTCTGAGTTCTGGAGAGCTAAGGAAGAGGACAAGAAAACCACTATGCCCAGGGTGTGTGACTTTGGAAAATAGAGGTGAGGTTTAGGAAAATCCTGCTAATAACAGGTTAGCAGCAGATGGAAACAATGTGTCAGAATCACAGGGACCTGCTTCTTCTCACTCTTTTCCTGTGGTGGGGAAGGGATGAATGTGACCATGCCCTGACTCTAGATCCTCAAGGGAAAGGGAGTGGGTTTGAACATCTGGAATCTAGGGCTTCAGACTGGGAATCCCTGAGCTGCTTTCTCCTTAGAAGTGACTTTTCACAAACCACTTAGGTCAGGGGAGAAAGGATCTGCAGGTGCTTCCATCCCAAAGCTCAAGCTGTAGATGAGAGAATGGAAGCCCAGAGTCGGGGAGGCCACAGGGCCAAGGTCACATAGCTGGGCAGGGAAAGATTCAGGGCTAGGAGCCAAGCTGCCAGACTCCAAATCCATGCTGGATTTCTCCATAGCCCAGTGGCTTTCCCTCATTTAAAATTACATATATATAAATATATATATATATATACACACACACATATATAAATATACATATATAAATATATATACAAAATACATAGATAAATATATATAAATATACATATATAAATATATATATAATTACAAAATTAGCATTGTCAGAATGTGAAAGACACAGAAGCACAAAATACATTTGTAATAAAATCTCTAGCTGAAGCTAATCACTGCTTCTTGCACTCCCTGCCCCACCTCATAAAATGCACACATGCATTCACACACATGCACACATTCACACACACAAATACACACACACACACAAATACACACACACACACACACACACACGTGGTATCCAGCTCCTTTGGTAGACTTTTTCTCCTTTCTTCTCCACAATCCCTTTACAGGTGTGGTCTGTTGTTTCCTGGAACCAGAGATTGTAGTTTGCAAGTAGAGAGCACAGGGTGGAAGGAGACCTGGCTTTGCTTTATCCCTCACCAGCTGTGGGGTCTTCTCTGAGCCTCACTTTCCTCATCTGCAAAATGGATTATAATGTATACCTTAGAGTAAATCAAATTAGATCAAATATGTGGAAATGCTTTATAAAATCCAAAGCACATTTTTCCACATTGATGATGGTGGAGGCTGGTGCTTGGGTAGGGGGCTGGTTTGTTGGTTTCTGCCTCAGGCCAGTTGGATCTCACTCTCTGACTCCTTTCCAGGGCAGCATCCTTCTTGCTCCCACACATCCATTCCCAGCTCTTTGGCTAGTCCCTCCCCCATCTCCTCACCAGCCCCTGACCCCAACAACTACAGCCCCAAAGAAGAGACCCCTGGTCTAGAACCCTGCATGGACAGACTGGCTGGGGGGTATCAGGTGGGCACTGGGGGTGGGCATGGGGACAGGATGGCCCTGCACAGAGGACTGGCAGCTCACCTACCTCAGGCGTCCTGTGCCCTTCCTTGCCCTGACCCCAAAACTGCCATGCTCATTTCACAGATTCATGAACCCAAACATTTCAGGGTTACAGACTGTCCAGCCTCTGTGCTGGCAATTTCTCCTGCAGCCTCTCAGCCTCCTTGCCCTGAGTCGGAGAGGTTTTCATACCTATTTTACAGAGGCGGAAACTGAAGATTCTGGCACTCCAGGTGATTCCCTCTTACAGAAATATTTGCATTTGAAAGGGCTCTTGAGAACCCAAGGTTGCTGATAGTGGAGATTTGGCTGCTGTGTTTGTGCTGCTGCTGGTACAGTGGGCTGTGGGGATCTGCAAGGTCCCATCCTCCTCAATCCAGTTGCAGGCATGTGGGAATTAGCACTGACCTTTATTGCCATCTGCCTCTGCTCCTCACCTGCCCTGTCAGGACAGAGATGGATGTCATCCCATCATTCCCCTGGCTACTGGCAGAGAGGCTAGGGACAGAGGCTGGTGCTGGCTCACACCAGCTGACCACAAAGCTGGCCATGCACATGATTCCACAGGTGTCCATCTCTGGGTATCACCAGTCCCGAGCCCCAGGCAGGAAAGCTGGGGAAACACCTGAGACCAGGGAGGAGCAGGTGCTGACTATATCTCATTATTCATGTCAGCTGAGTTTCAAATTTAGGAGATGGCGGTCAATGAGTGTGGGCCTTGCTGGGAGAGGGGTTCTTCCTCCCAAGTCCACTTGTCTTACTGACAGCCTCCTCCTTAAATGTTAGACAGACAGAGCCTAGTTTCAGCTTCATGCCTGGTGAGTTTGGATAGATATCTTAACTCTCTCACCTCAATCATCTGCAAAATGGGCACAAGAATAAGCCCTACTTGGCCTCCCTATTGGTAACAAATGAAAGACTGTTCAAAACTCTAAGTGTACAGTGGTTTTCCTGCCAGACAAAGAGAACATGGCCACTGGCCAAAATGGTAGGGGACCAGTGGCCAAGGGAGAAGAAGAAAGCAGCAGTGAGACTGCCCTGCGATGGCTCTCTTGGCATTACCCCAGGGAAACGCAGAGTCAGTGCCATCAACGAGCCAGGTCCAGACCCTGGTCCCATCTCCCCATTCCTTTGAGAGCATTGCAGCCACCACTTCATGTTCTCTGCATGCCTTCTCCAGCTACAGGCCTTGGCTCAGTGGCTTGTGGGGCTTCCTGCCACGGCTCCATAGGCTGCATCAGCTTTAGGTATGAGGTAAGAGAGAATTAGCGTCTCTTTGTGACTTTTTCACAATGTCTTTATTCCACTGTGGAGGTGCCTTTGAACTTGGCTGGTGTGCATGGCCCATCGACTCACCCTTTCTATCAGCTTTAAAACTCTCCAGTGGGCACGTGGTTGCCCAGGGAGGAATGCTCTGGCCCAGGACTTCTCTGTCTGAAGGCAGGTGGTTCTGAACATCCAGCTCCAGAATGCCAGTGGAATCCCAGCTGGGTCCCTTTAATGGGTCTTGTCAAGCTGACTCTCCTCTGGCAATGATAAGGGGGCCCCCACAGCTGGGGACAGCAGCCCGGAGACAGCCAAGGGCTCCTATCTTCTGTTCTCATAGGCAATCATGGGAGTTCAGCACCTTTTATCAGGCAGATGTAATCTTCTCAAATAGCTGCCAAGTCCTCCTCTTCCTGGAGTTCCCTAAGATAACTGTTTCCCCAGGAGGTGAAGGGGCATTTCCTTCACCAGGAAGAGATTCCATGTGTGCGCAGGTTTGCACAAAGTCATTCACTTCTAGAGGCAAAGGTTGCAGATTGCCTTCCACAACATGCATCCTCCTTCTCCTCCTTAATAACAACATGTATGTAGGGCAGCAATGGCCACGATAAAAGGACTATTACTCTCAGCTTCTTTGGGGACCAGAAGGGGAATAAGTGACTAGGTTCTGGCCAATGAGATATAAGCAGAAGTTGAGTGATAACTTTGGGAAGTCTTTTTAAAATGGATGGTGAAGACCTTACTCCTTACTTTTCTAACTTTTCTACTTTTTACTACCTGGAATGGAGATGTGATGACTGGAGCTCCAGCACCTGTTTTAGGTCTTGAGGTGACCTACATAATAGGAGCCATGTGCTGAAATGATTGGGCAGTGAAATTATAGAATTAGTCCCAGAGCCTATGGAAACACTATGCCAATCCTGGGCTGCATGTCTATGGACCTCTTTGCAAAAGAGCAAATAAACTGCCATCTTATTTAAGCCACGATTATGGGTTTTCTGTCATATACTGCTAAATCGAATCCTAGCAGATATTCTTTGATTCTGAAGTTTGGCAACACCATGTTGGTTTGTTCATTCATTGAAGGACTGGTTTTTTTTTCAGCCATGCTGCAGCAAACACTCTGTGTACTAGGCAGTGTGCTGGGTGTCGAGGGCCTAACGACGAATGACACTCAGACTGCGCCACCTAAGAGCTCCCAGTCCAGGTTAAGAGTGAGATGTGATCCTTCTGCTCAGTGGCCTTCAGAGGCTCCCCTTTGCCTTGGGCTTGGTGCAACGTAAGGCTGACTGCCCCTTTTCCCCCACTCTCCCTCCTCTCCATGATGGACTCCTTGGTGGTTGGGGGTGCAGCCCAGGAGTGACAGCAAGGGCTGCAGAGTCAGTAGCTTCTGGGCTGAGATCTGCCTTTCACTAGCTGTGTGGCCCTGACACATTCCTCAAAAGTGCTAAACTGTTTCCTCATCTGTAAAGCAGAGATAACAGTTCTCTTCTCACAAGACTGTTCAGAGGATTCAGTGAAACAATGGTTCATGGCATGTATTACAGTGCCTGGCATGTAATCAATACTTTTTCTCAATAATACGTGATATTACTGTTATCACCCTATTGAACTCACCGTTCCACTCAGTGATGATGACTGTGTATGAAGCAGCTGCCTTGTGCCACACCATATGTCCTCCCATATGTCCACTCCTGCCACTCTCTCCCTGGGCAGGCCCATCTCCCCTGCTTGCCTCATGGCTAGGCTCTTGGAGCCGGAAGCCCAGCTGCCCTGGAGGATCTTCCCAGTGCACTCAGAAGACTGAGGTCAGTGCCCCTCTTGGCAAGCCCATTCTTCTTCCTTGAAATGCCTCCACCTCATGGATGTTGCTTTCTATGGGCTGGGGTGGGGGTCCATGGAAGTCAAGACAGTGCCCTTGTTTGACTCTGTCTCCCCAGTAGTATCTGGTGCTTAGTAAATACTTGCTGATTGGATGGATGGATGGATGGATAAATGGGTGGTTAGATAAATTGAAGAGCTGTCCACAAACAGTGAGGCAAGTGCTGGAATAAATGAATGTACAAAATGCCATCAGAGGAAGTGGGAGTTCTAACTAGTTCAAGCAAGGGAGAAGGGGAGGGAGAGGACATTTGTGCTGAATGTTGATGGGTGGGTGTGAATTTCCAGGGTTGGCAATTACCTGCAAAGCGTCCTACCATGAGTGGGATGATCTGTTTTGTTTTACTTACACCAAGAGCTGGATACTTTCATAGATCTTGCATGTTAAAGCCTCCTTCCATGAGGTGAGGAGGAGAAGGGGGTCCCAGTGTCCCTGCTTGAGAGTCTAAGCAATAGTTCTGGCACATGCAGGGCCTTTACCTTTAGATAAACAGTCATGAAACTTCATCATGAAGGGGATGAAGGCTGGTCTCAGCGGCATTGAGGAGGAGGGAAAAAATGCGAAAATGCCACCATATCCTAGTGTTACAAACGCTGACCTCCAAGCCTCTCCCAATGACCAGGTGAACACAGTAGCTTACTCTTCCACTTCAGGTGTGCAAGCTAGGGCTGGGAGTGGTTGAGCCATTTCTCCTGGTTGGTGATGGAGCAGCATCTGGAACCTCAGAAAAGGAAAGGCTGTTGGGAACAAAGAGCTTAGGCAAGGAGACCTCAGTGAGACCTCCTACTTCCCTCACCTTGGAAGTCAAATTTTGGTGCTAATATGTACTCAGCTGTGCATAGGGAGAAAGTTGGCAGGCTCCGTGGGGGCAGACCCTGGCTCAAGCTGCCCACTATATCAGAGGCTGTTATTTGTCTCCTAATACTGTTTCTCCTTTGTTTCCTTGCTAATACAACCCTAATTGTTATCTGCCCGCCCAAATGAAAGATCACATTTCACAGCTTCCTTTGATGCTTGACTAAGTTCTTGTCAACGACATGCAAATGGAAGTGACCACCTCTAGTACCTTCTTTAAAAGACACTGGACTCATACCCTTTGCTCCCTCTTCAGCTCTCCTTCCCTCCTGCAACCTGGTATTCAGGCATGATGGCTGGTGCTGTAGCAGCCATATGGGACCGTGGGACCTTGAGGTTGTCTTAGGAGTAGCGGCCATGCATGGTGAAATGAAAAGATTGAAAGAGCCTTGATGGAAGGAAACCCCCTGTAAGATCTCCAGACTTCCTATATTCCAGCTGTAATACAAGAAAGAAATAAACTATCTATGAAGGGGCCATTAGTTACATGTCTGATACTTGGCTAATCAGCACACTGCCATCGCTACAGGAGGAGAGATGGCCACAGGAGAGGCACACGCAAGTTCAGGCCAGACCCGAGGATGCAGAAAACAGGATGCTTGAGAAAGAAGTGACCAATCCCAAGGGGCCACAGCCTCTTTCAGCCTGCAGCAAGAGGTACAAGAGAGAGGCCAGGTAGAGATGTGGCTTTTTTTATCATGGTGAGCCTGCTCACCTGGACCACACCCAAGTCAGCATCTTGGATGTGCACCAGTCTTATTTGCAGGTCCACCCTGAGCAAGTTGTGGGAGAAGGGCAAAGATGGGCTTAGCATGGAAAGGAGCAGAGCCAGTATAAGAGGAGCTTAACTCTAGGCTGACTCCCAACAGGTCTCACAGAGGTTCCTGAGTAGACAAGCTTTCCGTTAGCATGAACCTCGAGGCCTGGGGAGCCCTATGGCTAGACCACTGGACCACAGGGATTACAGGAACCAGTGTCAATGTAGTAACAAAAAGTAGCCTGTGTGGTCTGACTTGGAGCCATTTCTGGGAATGCATGGAAGTCTGAGAGATGATGTCGCTATGGTGGGATGTTCAGGATATTTGGGTGGCTTATGGGCAATGAAGACAGGCCATAGGATCATGGATTTGTTGATAAGAACTGGGGCTCTGGGACTGTGAATATGAGGGCCAGCGAGTGCTGGCCCCGTGGCTGCCAGGACCACCCCCCCACCCTGCTGCCGTGGAGGTGAGTGGTGCAGGTGGCTGGGGCAGGGGTTTGCAGGCTCATCTCAGAGTCCGGTCACACCAGGAACAGCCACAGAGTGGGGTGCAGGTACTCACTCCCAAGATGGGTTCTCCAGGAACCCATCATATTTTCCCCCCTATGTAATAAGAATTAGCAGAAGAAAAATTTCAGGGCACTTGCAGGAGAAATGGCAGGGCTCATGCAGCTTCCTTGTCAGCTGAGGGCATGACCTTAACCCCACTGACCCCTTTTCACTTTGCCTGGTCTAATACTCTACAGTACCCACCCCAGGCTCTGGTTGGTTGTCTTTGCCTTGCTGTAAATGTCAAAAATGTCAGCTTCACAAAAAGTCAATTGGAGGTTTTTTTGTTCCTCGAGCTGGAAGTCTGCACTGGGATCTAGCCTTCTGGCTCTGGGTTTTCTATTTCTGAAGGCCCCATGGTGGAATTTCCACTCAAGTTCTGTTTCCAAAAATTCAAAATGTCCTGTTCCACTCAATGTTTTGGTGTCCCAGACCTCTCTCCCACCTGCCACCTACACAGTACCAGCATAGAAATCTTGCGTTCATTAACCCACCCCTCGTGTTGGTTCATTAAGAGAGGTTAACTCATTAACAGAGGACGTACCCTGCCGTGACCACCACCAGTATTGTGAAAGCATCAAGTCCCACAATGTGGGGTGCCATCTCCTCTGGCCAGTAAGCTACCTCCTGCCTCCTCCTCTTCTCTTTCCCCTGGTCTGTAGCTTTCATCATCACCCAGTTCTCAGCCAGTGGAAGAGGAGATAGACAGGAAGGGGAGCTTGGGTGCCAATGCATTCCCCAGAGCAGGGTTTGTCAGCCTCAGCATGATTGGCATTGGGGGCTGGATAATTCTTGGCCATGGGGGCTGTCCTGTGCATGGTAAGATGTTGAGCAGCATCCCTGGCCTCTACCCACTAGATGCCAGCAGCACTCTCCTCCCCTAGTTGTGACCAAAAATGTCTCCAGAGTTTGTTAACCATTCCCTGAAGGCAAAATTGCCCTGAGTGGAGGAGCTCTTACCCAGGAAAGGAGCACAGAGTGAGAGGAGAGAGGCACAAAACTCTCTGTCCCTCTGTGGCTGAGTGAGACAGTGCAGTTGCAGGGCTGAGAGCAGCCTATCTCCACCACTTATTAGCAGCGTGTCTACAAGCAGGTGATCTCATCTACCTGTGCCTCAGTTTCCTCATCTAGATATGAGGAAGACACTAGTAGCCCCTTAGCTAGCTTCCATGAGGATTGTAGTACTTTAAATGGTGCATGGCGCTTAGTTAGTGCTGTATAAGGCAGACACAGATGCATGTCTTGTATGGGGAGGCTGTGACTTTTTATGATTATTTCCATGGTTCCCCTTTGCTTCCACAATAATATCCACGGCGTGCACTCAAGGTCCTCAAGACCTAGTCATGCCCTTTTCTCCAGTGTTACCTCTCACCACGGCCCCCCACACCTGGGTGAACCGTGCACAGGTCACAGGAGACACAGTGTTGTCTGTCACAGCTATGGCTTTGCTCTTGGTGTCTGACCCTTGGCTGGGATTGGGAAGCCCTGGGCATCCTCCTTCTTCACTTAGCCCACCCCTACACAGGCTTCAGGAGTCACTTCCTCCAGGAATTCTTCCTGACAACCTTAAGATGGGGTTAATTGCCTGTCTTAGCTTGTTCCACTTTCCCCTTCCCACCCCAGCCCCACAACTAGATCCTAGGTCAATGGCTTTCATGCAGGTATTTTATTTTGGGAAGTGATCCCACGGTGGGCAGACTGAAAAAAGTGAAACAGAAAGAAGAGGAGAAGAAGCCAGTCCAAGAATGTATTGTCCAACCAGTTACAGCTGCGAGCAACTGGGGACGCTCTGAAGAACCTTCTGGAATGTGCCTGAGAATTTTTACATCCTAGATAACAAACATGGGAACATTTCTCCAGCTGTTCCTTCAGGCCCCTTCATTGGCCCATGGCTGCCAAGGGGATGGCTTTTTTTTTTTTTTTTTGTTAGATAAGAGTCTTGCTTTGTTGCCCAGGCTGGAGTGCAGTGGTGTGATCTCGGCTCACTGCAACCTCTGCCTCCCGGGTTCAAGCGATTCTCCTGCCTCAGCCTCCCAAGTAGCTGGGATTACAGGTGCCCTCCCCCACTCCCAGCTAATTTTTGTATTTTTAGTAGAGACGGCGTTTCACCATGTTGGTCAGGCTGGTCTCGAACTCCTGACCTCAGGTGTTCCACCCACCCCAGCCTCCCAAAATGTTGGGATTACAGGCGTGAGCCACTGCAACTGGCTGCCCGGGGATGTTGACCTTTCAGATGTGCCAGCATGGCTGAGTGGGCTCCTTTGGGGGCTCCATCCACCCGGTGGTGGCAGAGAGGCTCTGGGACAGGGAGCAGAACATGGTGCAGCTGGGCTTCGGTGCTGTCAGGCCACATCCATGGGCAACTGATGATTGCAGCAATGACTGGAGCACACCATGGGCTAGGGAGATGCGGAGTGAGGCATGGAAATGTTTGCTACATTGCACCTCTTCAGTCCCCTCTGTTGCCCACTCCTCCCTACCCCTCCCTTCACTCGCCACCCTGTACTGCAATTCCCAAGTTAGCCTTGCCCCAAGACTAACTCCTTTTGAGCAGAATCTGTTATTCTTTGCTATGTACCCTGGCCCCATGCAGGGGCTGAAAGCGGCTAGGTTTAAATAAATGCCATAATTGAATGAACAAATGAATGAATGAATGAGGCAGAGGTAGGCTTGGAATCTAGTGCTTTCAAAACTTTTGGACTATGATAAGGCCAGTTTATCATATGCAGGAACCCTGTCCCATTATCTGAAAATGAGCCAGGTCTGGAGGTGGGGTTTACTGAGTGGAATGATATGAATATCTAGGGGGCTGGTTTGTGGAGTATGGCCACTGCTCAGGGCTGCAAATGGCCTTTGCAAAGAATGACCTCAGTGAGGACTCGAAATGGTTACAGCAAGCCACCACAGCTTTAGCCCTGTCTTCCTGCAGAGCCACAGGTTCTGGAAATGGGTTAAGCAGCTGGAGTCCTTGGCAAGATGCAGAGGTGTCTGGCTGCAGAGTGATAGCTGAGACCTAAGACCCAAGAAGACACTGCAATGCCCAAGGCAGGGTCAGGGACACCGTCTCTTAAGACTCAGAACTTTATGGGGAGCAGAAGCCGTCACTGACTACTTCTCCAAGGAGAATGTTTTACAGGGATCTTAGGGTCTGCTTGAGCCCCATGGAGCCAGAGTTTGGGCCCCAGGATCCTGACTCCTAGCCCAGCATTCTTGTCTCCTGTGTGTACTGTGGAGCCATACTGTTTCTTAAAGAGCTCTTGCATATTGTTTTAGTTTGGATTCTTCAAATGGTGGATGCTGGCACAAAGATTTGAGTGTCAGTGGTTTATTTAGGAAGTGATCTTGAGAAGCAGGGAAGTACATTACGAAAGGAGAAAGCCAATATCAGGGCACTCAAATGAGGCCACTGCCATAGACAGTAGAGCTCAGTTTCACTAGGACTTCTTGGAAGCACAGGAGACTCCTCTGAATTGTCTGAGAGCCTGGGACATTTATGCACTAACTCTGGGCCCCAAACTCCCTATACCTCGATGAGTGATCCCTTACAGTGCTTGGGGAGGTTAAGGGACAGGCTAGGGAGAGTTGCTTGGCTGTGCTGGAGGGGAGATGCTTACAGCGCAGGGTGAGTCTGAGCATGCGCAGAACTGTCCAAGAAGCTGAAATCGAAGGTGTGCCAAGGGGATGTGATAGAGGACCCCCGGGGTCAGATACAGAACTTTGCAGCCCCCACAAGGCTTTTTACTAAGGTGTCCCCTGTTGGATCTGGCAGATTGTTCTGGATTCCTTCTCTAAACCTTGGCAATCCAGTACCACAGCCACCCTGCCCTGTGTGATGTCAGGCCTGCCTGCTGTGCCGCAGCACCCTCTAATCAGAGCTGCCCACCGACAGTCCACAGGCTCTGAGTGAGAAGCTTCATCAGACAGGTTGCTTTGAACGCAAGCCCCAGAAAGCAGCCCCGGTTAACCTCGCCGACGAGGAATTTGTGGAAGGATATTTAGGACTCTCAGGATCAATAGAAAAGCTAGGGATGCAGACTGGGAAATTGGCCAGAACCAAGAAAGGTGGGCTTGATTTGGATCTGTACCCGCCCTGTGAGACTCTATCTGGTAGAAAAGAACTAGTTCCTCAAAAGGAAATTGGCAAAATCTTAAACACAAAGTTACCATCTGACTTGGCAAAAACTTAAACACAAAGTGACCATCTGTCTCAGCAACTCCATTCTTAGGTACATACCCAAGATAAATGAAGACATATGTCCAGGTAGAAACTTGTACACAAATGTTCCTAGCAGGATAATCCACAAGAGCCCTAAAGTGCAAGCAACCCAGAAGTCCCTTAACTGACAAACGGACAAATAAAATGTGCATCCACATGATGGAATACTACTTAGCCTTAAAAAGGAATGAAGGACTGATATATGCTACAACATGGATGAACAACATGGATGAACACAGAACACATTCTACTAAATGGAAGAAGTCAGACACAGAAGACCATATATGGTGTGATTCCATTTCTATAAAATATCCAGAATAGGCAAATCCATGAGACAGAAAGTGGATTAGTGGTTTTCTAGGCCAGAATGGATGAAGGTGATTGAGGAAGTAAGAGCTAAATGGTTTGGAGTTTCTTTTTAGGGTGATGAAAATATTCCAAAATTGATTGTAGTGGTGATTGCAGTAGTCTGAATTTACTGAAAAGCATTGAATTCTACACTTTAAATGGGTGAATTATATGGCTTGTGAATTGTATTTCAATAAAGCTGTTTTTTTTTAAGTTGAGACCTGGGTGGTGTTTACATAGGAGGGACACTTTGTGCTCATTCGTGACTTTGCTCACTTTTCTCTATGGCAGTTACACTAAAAATAAAAAGATATCAGGGCATGGCTAGGGAAGGGGAGGGACTGCTAGACACTCAAAGACCACAAATGCCACTTCTCTCTTTCCTGGTAATTTGTACAATTTATACAGTTCTAGATATTTCTACCTGTTAATGCTGGATGAAGGAGAAGGACTCGAGGCTAAGCTCTTTAGTAAAGCTTCAGCCCATATGGACTCACTGAAGAGTCACCAAAGAGTCCTTATGGGCTGAGGTCGCAAAGTGCCAAAAATCAGGAGGAGGACATGACTGCCTCCCGGGACGAAGAACCCAAGCGTTTCAATCATGTGCCATTTACCCATCTTGTGACCCCATGGGGAGGTTTCCATACTGAGAAGGGGCTGGTTTTGGAGGACAAGTGTCATTTTGGCCTCGGGGAAGGGGTTGAACGTCTTGTCCAACATGTCAGTGGAGGTTGCCGCTGGGAGGCAGTGCCCTGTTTTGTGTTCCTGCTCACTCAAGCACATAAGCATAACCCGGTCACTGCTCACTAGCCCAGGGACCTCTCTCTCTCTCTCTGCAGTTCAGATCAGTAGTGCTCATAATGGTGACTGGCCACTTTCTCAGAAGGGAATCCAAGGTGCAGAGCAGCTCAATGCCTTGTCTAAAGCCACCCTTCATGCCTGGCCTCCTTTGCATCTAAACCCAGGTGACTTATTCCTGCAGGGGTGTTTGAAGCACCTTTGTCATCCATGGGATCCCTATCTCCAAGACCTCTCATCCCCCCTCCCATCCTCCATAGTGGGGCAGCAGCCAATATTGCGGGCACGGGCTCAGCAGCCCACATCTTGGTCTCTGGACCTGGCTTTCTCCTGGCCCTCCCTGCCTTCCACCCATCTGAATCAACCCGAGGGCTGTGTCCAAGGAAGATCTCTTACTATCTAAACTAGGGCCAGTGGGGGAACTAGAAACCCGTTCTGCAGTGATGCAGCCACTGAGGCAGGCAGTATCTAGCTTGGGACATGCCCATTTGAAGTCTTTTAAGGATCTTCCTGCCTGTGGATCCAGTGGCTAATTTGGCTGGAAGCTCAGAGCTCTTAAGTCACCTTTGGTTCTGGAGACCGTCTAGCATTTTGTAGTTGTGCTTTGATTTCCTTTTTCACAAACTGGGCACATTTTTTGCCTTGGGCTCTGAGGGGTCCCAGTGAGTGGACTCTGGAAACTGGATAGTTTAATTGGGCACCAGGGTGGGAGATGTGCCTTGACACAGAGAAGGGTGATAGGCAGGGGCAGCCAGCCACAGCACCGATGCCATCAGGAATGCCTGATGAGAAAATGACTTGGCATTGTGTTATCATCTGCTAATCTACACCAAAGGTTATTTTTCCTTTTGAATTTCTCAGCCTCATGTAGGTGGGATTGTGGGAAGCCTGTCAAAGGGGGAATGGGAGAGAGAGAAGAGAGAATGGCAAGCAATTTATGCAATGTTAAAAATAACGGGAGGGATAAACAGGGGTCTTTGTGAATTCTTAACAAATTGTCTCCAGCAGAGGAAGGTGGAGGAAGCAACTAGCACAAATTGTGCTCCTGTTATGTGTAGATGTTGTGCTAGGTACCTTGTGGACTGGACTCATTTTGTCATTGTCACACCCCTGTGTGGTGACTTTTGCTATCCTTATTTGATAAGTGGCCCAGAGAAGTTTATACAGATGTTTAAGAACTGCTTCTATAATAGGCGATGGGACCAGGGTTGGAGCCCAGGTGCAGCTGACCCTGAGGCCAGGCCATTCTGAAGAGACACCAGTTCACATGTGAAATCTTGCTTCCTCCTCACAAGCACTTTGCAAGGTGGGTGCCATGGCCTCTGTTTTATGGGCGAAAAGACTGAGATGCAGCGAGGTGCATTAGGCAGGCAGCTGGCATTCTTTCCAACAAATCCAGTCTCTCTATTCTTTGCCCCTTGTGCGATATGCTAAGTCTAATTTTCAGAGACACTCCTCTCTCTCTCTTTTTTTTGTTCCAGGAAACTGCTTGAAAGCTTTGCTGCCCTTGACGCAGTGTTCCAGGTCAGCTCACATTCTAGAAGCATCTATGACTGAGGGTATTTTAAGAGCGGGTGAGCCAGGCAGGGAAATTTGGAAAGCAGCCAGTTGCCTGACACTTGTCTGTTTGGAGGGGGAGGGTGGGTGGTGGCTGATAGAGAGGATAGAGATTTTGTTTTTGTTTTTTGCTTTCTTTAGAGAGAGAGAACATCTCTGCCTCTGGAAATACAGAGTGGGGGTGAGAACAAGAGAAATATTAACAACAAAATACCTCTTCTGTGTGGTGTGTGCTCTACCTTTGCTCCTGTAACTGTGGTATATCAACCATCAACATCATGGGAGCCCCTTAGAGAAATGCAGATCCTGTCCTACAAGAGACAGACTAAATTGGAGTCTGTTTCCTAACAAGGTCTCCAGGTGGCAGGGTGAGTTGAATGCACTTCCATTGGAGAAGCCCTGGTCTCTGCCATCTTTGCCAAGTGCACATCTATGAGCCCACCAGACACTTCTGCAGGACCTGCACCACAGCACATTCAATGGGAGCTGTCCGGCACTGAACTCATTCTCTCCCCAACTCTATCATCCCTGTGTTCCTGTCTCCATGGTGCCATGTCCACCCATTGCTTACGGCCCAGCCAGAGGCAATGCTTCCTCCTGCTGTCTGTTGTCCACCCCAAGTCCAGAGGACCCCACTTCCTAAATACCTCTTGGTTGGTGCACTTGTGCTGTCCTCTCTGTCACTGCCCCATTCCATGGGTGCCTTGCCTGGGCTTTCCGACAGTTTTTCACACTGAGGCTGGAGTGCACCTCCCTCCACACAGATCTGAAGACAGCACTCCCCAGCCCCCATCTAAAGCCCTCCTGCCCCCTACCACCCTTTGAATCAAGTCCAAGCCCCTCCATCTGGCCAGTATGATTGGGTTTTGCCCAACCCTCAATCTTTTCTCTGGAAACTGCTTCCCAGGCCTTTCAGAATGATTTCAAGCTTTTGTCCCTCTCTCTATAAATTATCTTTTTACCCCCTTTGACTGCTTTATCATTTTTTTCTTTATCATTGGTTTCAGCAATTTGTTTGTAATGCGTTGTGGCTTGGTTTCCTTTGTGTTTATCCTTCCTGGGGTTCATTGACCTTTTTGGGTATGTGAGCTTATACATTTCATCAAATTTGGAAATGTTCAGCCATTATTTTATGCATTTTTTTTTTTGCCTCTCTCCCTTTCATGCTTATGTTTGGCTGTTTGGTATTGTCCCATAGCTTACTGAGGCTCTGCTGGTTTTTCAGTATCTGCACTTCCCTTAGGATAAATTTATTCTCTAAGTCTTTAAGTTTACTGAGCCTTTTCCTGGTAGGATCTAATCCATTGTTAATTTAATCTAGTGAAATACTCATTTCAGATAGAGCAATTTTTATCTTTGGAGTCTTCTTCTTGATTTCTCCTACTTTTGTCTTTCTTGTGTCCCTGTTTTCCTTTAGATGGTTGAACACAATAGCTGTTTCAGAGTCCTCGTCTGCTGGCTCCATCATCTCTGCTATTTCTCATCTCTTTCTTTTGACAGATTTTCCTTCTGGTTATAGTCCGCACTTTCCTGCTTCTTGGTATGTCTGGTAATTGGTAGTGGATGATGGACATGGTGACTTGTGTGCTGCTGAGTGTCTGGATTTTGTTCCGGAAAGCAGTTGAGCTGCTTGTGGATTATTAGATTGCTTCCAGCCTGTTTCTGGGAGTTGCCAGGGCAGGTCTGGAGTCACCCTCACTGTTGGGATGGTTTAGGCTGAATGTTTAGGTGCAATTCCTCTGAGGCCCCACTGAATGCCCCAGGTGATCACTGAGGACTCTCCATTCTCCTTGCCAGACTTCCAATGTCTCTCTGCCCTGTGTGAACTCTGGGAGTTGTGTGGTTTACGACTCCCCATTGGTTGTTTGCCTGGTTTTGTGGCATTTCATTCTATGCAAGCAGGCCTAGTACACATCAAGGGGATAGCTCTGCAGATTTCTGGAGCTTTTTTTGAGTTAGTTCTTCTCTTCTGGAAATATGTCCTGCAACTTCCAGCCATTTCAGCCTTCCTGAACTTCCATTTCTGTCTCTTCAATTCAGTGAGGCTATGAAGTCTGACTTCCTCCTGTGCCTCTGATCTGGAACTCATCTCTAGGCAGAAAGCGAGGGGCTCACAGCCAGAAGGCCTGGATAATTGTGGGATTCACTTCTCCCCTGCCCTACTCTCAGGAATCAGTGCCCTTGTCTCATCCTAGAAAGTGTTGTTTCATATATTTGTTCCATTTTCCTAGTTGTTTACAGCAGAAGATTAAGTCTAGTCCCTAATATTCCACCCTCCCACAATGACAGGGTTTTGGTAATATTCCCTTTGGCTAGAACGCTCTTGTTGGACTTTACCTACCCTGACCCCCAATCATTCCCCCCAGTGACTTCAAATACACTACATCATTGGAGACCCCATCGTTTGGGACAATTCCCATCGTTGGAGGGTTATGCCCAACCTGAGCTATAATCTGATTCCCAGAGTTCACCACACTCCCAGGAAGAGTTAGAGCAAGTATTGTCACTAAAAATCTGAGCAGCATGCTACAACAGACTTTCTTGTCTTCTAAAATGGTTTTCACAAAAGGTTTGGAAGGCAACTGAGAAACAGAGGCTCAGAAAGGCTCAGCTCCTGCTCAAGTAAGTGGCAAGGTTGACTGATCAATCCCAGAGCCCGTACTTTAGGATTTGCTACCAGCAAAACTTAAGTGTCCCTGGTTCTGATCCTCTACCCCATCCCCAGGGGTGTTTGTGACAGAAGATCCCAGCAACCTCTCCTCCATCTAGTTTGCTGCTGCACAGCCTGCACTCTACCTGCCAAACCCATGAGCTTCTGTTTGTTGTGACATTATAGTTTTGTTTTGTTTTTTTTTTCTGAGGCAAACAATTCTGCTATCACAGTAGCTTGTTACGACTGCGGCCGGGGAATGGGTGGTAGGAGCCCAGGAATCACTGGGGAAGGGAGCATCTTTGGCAGGCTAGCCTGTTAAGAGCAGTCATAAAGGATCCTGCAGATGAGATGGTGGGTGGTGAGGAAAGAGCATCCCTCTGAAGGCATAAGCATCTGTCAGTCACTCAGGTGGGCTACAGCCTCTAATGCTGCCCTGGCGTGTCTAGGGTGGATCAGAAAGCTATAGTGGTGCCTGGAATGAAGGGGATTTTTGTATAAACAGGGAACATTCTCTTTATCAAGCATCCACTCTACCCCATGGCAGAAATTGTTTGAGGAACTGTATCTCCTGTCATTCTCATGGTGTTCTCTTTGGGCGAACTTAAAAAAAAATGTTACAATTGTATATGCTCACTGAGAGGAAAAAGTATGAACAACCCAACAACAAAATAAACAAATCATTTTAGGATTAAAGAAAACAACTTATCTGCATGCTATAGATCTGCTATAGTTTGGATATTTGTGCCCTGCAGATCTCACGTTGAAATGTGATCTCCAGTGTTGGAGGTGGGATCTGGCGGGGGGTGTTTCCCTGGAGGGATCCACGGTGGTGGATCCCTCATGAGTGGCTCAGTGCCCTCCCATGGTAATGTGTGAGTTCTCACTCTGTTTGTTCATATGATATCGAGATCTGATTGTTAAAAGGAGCCTGGCACCTCCTCCCTTCCCTCTCTTGTCCGTCTCTCGTCATGTGGCACGCCTGCTTCCACTTCATCTTCCACCAAGAGTGAAAGCTTCCTGAGATCCTGCCCAGAAGCAGACGCCAGGGCCATGCAATTACTTTTGAACCAACCTAACACATTAGCCAAGTTCAGGTATGCCTTGATAGAAGCACAAAACAGACTACTACAGTAACCTTTCAGAAACACTTAAAAATAGCATTTGGAGGTATAATTTACATACTATAAAATCCACCCATTTTAAGGGTACAGTTGGATAGTTTTAGTAAACTTACACAGCTGGTAACTTCTCACCACAGTCAAGTTTTAGAACACTTCTATCACCTCTGAACTTTCTCTGTTTGTCCCTCTGTAGTCAGTCTCAGCTCCCACACCCAGCCCCAGGCAAACACGGACCTGCTTTCTGTCTCTTTTGGTCCCTTTTCTAGAAATTACAGATAAGTGGAATCATAAGACATAGAGACTTTTGTATCTGGCATCTGAAGTTTCTGAGGGTCACCATGTTGTTGCATGTATCAGTAATCCATTCCTTTTTCATTGTTGAAAAGTATTCCGCTGAATGAGTGTACCCGTTTATCCATTCACTAGTTGATGGACGTTTGGGTTGTTTCCAGTTTTGAGCTATTATGAATAATACTGTGGTGAACATTCTTGGACAAGTCTTTATGTGAACATATGTTTTCATCCCAGTTAGGTAGATGGCTAAGCACAGAATTGTTGGTTTGCATGTCAGATGCATGTTTAGGAAACTGTCAAACTGTTTTCCCAAGTGGCTGTACTATTTTATATTCCCACAGCGATGGATGAGGGTTCCAGTTTCTCCACATTCTTTCCAACATTTGGCATTGTCAGTCCTTTTGATTAGAGCCAGGCGTGTAGTGATATCTTTTAATTTAAATTTATATATTCTTAATACTAATGATGGGAGCCTATTTTCATATGATTATTGACAGTTCATATATCTACATTGGTCAGGGGTCTGTTAAAATATTTTGCCTTTTTAAAAACTATGCTGTTTACCTTCTTATTAAGTTGTAAGAATTTTTCTTATACTCTGTATACATGTCCTTTATCAGATATGTGACTTGCAAATATTTTCTCCTAGTCTGTGGATCATATTATTTTCTCAATGGTATTTAGAAGGGCAAAAGTTTTTTATCGTGAAGTCCAGTTTAACAATTTTTCTTTTTGGAATGTCTTATGTAAATATATTTTAATAGGACTGCAAATGTACAATCATGTTTTCTCTTATTATTTTTAACTCGATAAATTATGTTAATAGATTTCAAACCTAGCATTACCAGATTACACCCTACTTAATCATACTCCATGATTTTTAATATATTTCTGAAATCTGAAATACATACATATTTATTTAGCATTTTTAAATGTAAATTCACTGATGATATTATCCTACAGATTTATCTTTTTTTTTTTTTTTTTTTGAGACAGAGTTTCACTCTTGTTGCCCAGACTGTAGTGCAGTGGCATGATCTCGGCTCACTGCAACCTCTGCCTCCCGGGTTCAAGTGATTCTCCTGCCTCAGCCTCCTGAGTAGCTGGGATTACAGGCACCCACCACCATGCCCAGTTAATTTTTAAAATATTTTTAGTTGAGAAGGGGTTTCACCATGTTGGCCAGGCTGGTCTCGAACTCCTGACCTCAAGTGATCTGCCCGCCTTAGCCTCCCAAAGTGCTGGGATTACAGGAGTGAGCCACTGTGCCCGGCCGATTTATCTTTTATTTATGATTTTTTCAAACATGGTTGGGTTAGGCCATTCTTGCATTGCTCTAACAAAGTAGCAGAGACTGTGTAATTTACAAGAAAAGAGATTTAATTGGTTCACGGCTCCACAGGCTGTACAGAAAACATGGCAGCCTGTGCTTCTGGGGAGGCCTCAGGGAGGTTTTGCTCATGGCAATGGCAAAGCAGGAGCAGGCACTTTCCATAGTGAAAGCAGGAGCAAGGCTGTGGGTGGAAGGGAGGTGCTACACACCTTTAAACGACCAGATCTCCTCAGAACTAACTCAGTATCTTGAGGACAGTACAAGGGGATGGTACTAAATCATTCATGAGAAATCTGCCCCTGTGATTCAATCACCTTCTACCCAGCCTCACTTCCAACATTGAGGATTACATTTCAACATGAGATTTGGGTGGGGACACAGGTCCAAACTATACCAATGGTTATTAATCATACTCTAATTTGAAAAAAGAATTGGGTTTCATCTTTTTTTAAATATCCTGTAATAGTTTATATAGCTTGAAAATTACTTATTCTCTGAAATTTTGAAGGAAGAAATACTCTATATAAAACTATTTGAGCCTTTTGCTTTTTTAAAAAGATGAAAATTGTTTAGAGCTGTGATTCATGAATTTTCCCCCCAAATTATTCCAGACTTTTGTCTGATAAAATTTTTATTTTTTAAAGTTAATTTTAACAACTTATATTTTCATAGAAAATTGTGCATTTGATTTTGACTTCAAATTTTTTACATTGTTGGTATATATAGTTTTATATTAGTCTTATAACATCTTCCATATGATACCAATGGTCATATTCCCTTTCCCAATCCTAATTTTGAGTACTGTTTTGTCTTTATTATTTTTCTTAATTGGGCTAACTGGGTACTTATTTTTCTATTTTGTTGGTTTCCATTTTCTCCACTCCCTTCTCCCCCACGCCAGTTTTGATCATCTCCTTTGGTTTCTAAGATGGGGCAGTTGACAAAATTTTTTAATGCTAATTTCTGGAAGGCACAGCAGTACTTTCAGGGAGTTGTCATTTTGCAGATGAAGATACTGAAGTTCAGAGATGTCACAAAGCAAGGGAATTGGTAACACTTACATGAGCTGGGATTGGATTCAAAGCCAGTACTTCTTCTTCCAGATCATGGCTCACCTCTGAGGAATGATGAGGTTGCTTGGGGGGTGAAATACACCACAAACACACTAGGATATTCATAAAAAACTGTGTTAGGACAAGTACCCTCATCCCAGAGGGGCACGAGAAATCCCACATCTGCCTTCCCTATGTATGGTCTCTGATGATTATCCCAGACTTTCTCCCTGAAGCTGCAGAGCCAGGACTACTAAGTCCCCAAGCTATAAATTTGCATATTGAGGCCAAGAAGTATCAGGCTGCCCTCTTTTCTCTTGCTGTGAAGGATGTGATGTGGGCATGGTGTGGGCACGTGTAAGCCTGTGTATATAAAAGGAAGGTAGAAAGCCTGTGTTGGTCCCCATCAGGACTGCCCAGAGAAAAGACATTGACCTCATCCTTGACAAATATCATGATCTCTGAGAGATATGCTCTGGTAGGGAGAGAGAGGGGCTATACCACCAAACTCTGCCCTAGCCTGCACCTGTCTACACCCAAGACCCCCTCCCAGCAATCACATACTCCCATTCCAAGCTCAACTAGAAACCTACCAATTACTTCTGTGTTTCCCAAGTTTTTTGACATTTGAATAATGTACATGAACAGTTGTGGAATTCTGCTCCCCACTGAGAATGAATACATAGTCCTTGGACTTCTAAAAGAGCCAGAGAATCCCCAAAGCTCCAATGCAGCCTCCTCCATGAAGCTGTCTCAGATCTCCCAGGTGGAGGATCTCATCTCAGCCCTCTTGGGGCTGTTTAGTTTTAACTTTCTGTTGACATGCTTCAGGGTCTGCCTTGCATTCGTTCGTTCATTCTTTTGTTCAACATTCATTGAGCTTCAACTGTGCTATGGGATGGGCTACAACAGTGTACAAATTGGGCACAGTGCCTGCCCTCAGGGAACTTGCAGTCCAGTGGCAGAGGGAACATGAGCTAGATGACAAATTGTGATAGGTGCTCTGAGGAAAAGCAGTTGGGTGGGAGCTCTGTCAGATGAGCTGAGCTAGGAGGACCTGAAAGGTGAAGTGACCCAGCCACCTGAAGCGCCGTAGGAGCCATGCCACGTGGGAGGGGCTTTGGGGAGTGACTGACCACAGGCCCCTGTGGCCGACGTGCAGTGAGTGAGGGAGGGTAATGGGGGTGAACAGAGAGGGATGCCGAGGCCAGCTTGTAGTGTGGCTGTTGGTCTTGTCCATCCTATGGCACAACCCTGTCACCACCCAGATTTTGTTAGGAGTCCTCCCCCAACTTGAGAGTGGAAGCTCCTTTGGCACAAAAAGGGGTTCTGCATCATCCCCCAGCCCCCAGCCCTGAGCCTGGGTCTGGCTCTGAACTAGACCTCCATGAATGAATGCACAGCATCAGTGGGGATCCACCATCATGGGGAAATAGTAGATACAGGAATGATTTTCCAACCAGATTACAGACTATTTCAAGCCCAGCCAGAGCCTACCAGGCCAACATTCCCCAGGCTTGTGCCTCTCCGAGCCTCAGATTGCTCATCTTTCAAACGAGGGCAGCTCTGCTGGCGTTACCTGCACTCTAGGGTCCTTTATAAGCTCAGACTCCAGCTTAGAGCACACATTGAGAGGCTGCTGCACCCCAGAGCCACATACGTGCAACAGAGGGTGGTCCAGACCCCTTATTGGTCCCCATGGGGTTTGAGAGAGAAGCCTCCAGACCAGCTCAACTTCTCCCTCATCTCACTTAGGCCTTTGCACCCAGCTCTTAGGAGGTTGTCAGGTGACAGTGCCCCATTTCTTTTCTCTTCCCCAGAAATGATGCGGGGGATACCTGCTCAGACAGGACCTTCATGAAAGCCAGGCTGTGAGGTGTGTTGGGGAATGCATAATTGATAGGCCATCGTTCGGAGGCCCTCCTGGAGGACCAAAATGTAATCAGCAGTGGCGAGCTTGATCACGACAGGAATTCCTTTTACATCCTGGTGAGGCCAAAGACCTGGCAAGCAAGTCCCTCTGGTCATTAAGAAGCATCCTGACTTCAGCAGGCCACCTTAGGTCACTGCAGCCACAAACATCTTTGCTGCTGGATTCGAAGTAGGCATCGGGCTTGGATCTGGGCTCTGGCATCCTTGAGGTGTGGGCGGCTGAGTGCCCAGTCCCTTACCCACTCCGGCAGGTCAACTGGGGAAATCCATCTCTCCCACGATAAAGGAGTGCATAGGCTTCAAAATGTGAAAATGTGATATGGCTACTTTCATGATGAATTATTTACATATCAAGATGAATTATTAATCCATGCTTTGAATTAATTTTATTGGGTTTCCAAAAAAAGTGAGCATTTCAGAGGCAGGAAGGAGATGGCAGTACCCTCCCTTTTCCCCAATTATTAAGGGTGGGACACACAGGCTCACCAATTCGCTTAGAAGATTTCATTTGTTTCTGTGTAGGAAGGTGACTCATGGGCTATACCTACAATTTGTTTTTGACCTTAATAAGAAATTACAATAGTTCTAATTGCCCTGGAACCTTCCCTTGTGGTGGAAGTAAAAATTTCAGATGAAATGACTTGGCTTCTTCCCCGAGGTTGGCGGAGACAGGCTTGTAGACACAATCCCTTTACACTTGGACATGGAGAAAAGGATGGAGATGGATGGCCCCATTCCTGCCTGGCCTGTGCACACCTGCCTCCCTGGCTCCCACTCCTCCTGGCTGGCTCCTTGACAAGTTCATTGCTGTGCTCACCAGAAAGTGGTCAGCAGAATGTTGCTTCTGGAGAAGTTAAGTGCAGGCTAGCAACTCCTCAGGGGTTCAGTGGATGAAAGGCTGCAAAATAGGGTTTGGAATCGCTTCATAGACAGGGCCCATGTCTACACATACAACAAAAGAAGTATTTTTTGGGGAAAAAAGTTGTATCAGAGGCTTTGGGAAACACAGAGAGGTTTTGCAAGAATTTAAAGCAGGACATAGGAAAGAAAGCATGCAGCCAATGTTAATTGAGTGCATACTATGTGGTAGGCTTCCTGCTAAGCTCTTTTAAGTCACTGCTTCATTGAAGCCTCAGGAGCCTAGGGGACTGGCTACTCTTCCTAACCCACAGAGGGTAAATAAGTCTCCTGAGGCCACCCAATAGGTAGGAGAGCTGAAAATCAAACTCAGGCCTGAGTGGGCCTTGTAGCTCGTAATTTTAATCTGTGTGCAGCTCATGTCTGAGTCTGTTTAGGCTGCTATACAAAATCCTTCAGACTGGGGAATTTATAAACAATGGAAATGCATTGCTCACAGTTCTGGAACTGGGAAGTCTGAAGTCAAGCCGCCAGCAGATTTGATGTGTGGTGAGGGTTCACTTTCCTCCCCAAAGGTGGTGCTTTCTATGTGTCCTCACCTGGCAGAAGTGGGGAGCAGGCTGCCTCTGGCCTCCTTGTAAGGGTTCTAATCCCATTCTCCTAATCACCTCCCAAAGTTCCCACCTCTTAATATGATTACACTGGGAATTCAGTCACAACATATGAATTTTGGAGGGAGACAAACATTCAGAACATAGAGATCATCAGGATTTGTAGAGAGGAAAAGAATGCAGGTCCACATTAACTGCAATAACGACAATCAAGAACAAAGAACAATAAAGCCTGGAGCCCTAGATTCATGTCCCCACCCTCTCACCAGTTCCCTGGAACACTATGCAGGAGTCCCTTTGTTGCCTTCGTTTTCTCATTAGTAAGACGGTAGATTGACATACAAGACCCCTTAGGCCCAATCCTGTAAACTTCTCCTTTCCCCAGTCCACCGATGAAGACAGTTGGCTCAGGAACAGGGTCACAGAATTTTGGGGCCAGTCTGGTCCAACCAATCACAGGGAACTTGAAGTCCCTTGACAGCACACTCAGAAACCCCAAGCCTGATGTTGAGGTCCCCTACATGGAAATGAATTAGGCCCTAGGCTGCTCATGCCACCTTCAGAGAGGGCTGAAACAAAGTTGGCTCCCCGCTAGCCTGGAGCACTGTTGGTGTTCGATACTTATTTATTGAGCAAATGAAATATTTTTAGCATGACTTCCCTAAGTCCTTGCCACATGCCAGCACTGGCAGCTGCACTGAATTCCTGCTTGTCCGCGTTGAATTCTCTCCATCCAGAGTCACTGGGATACTCTTTGACTCCTACATGCTTGGCCATCTCTGCCCAGGAGATGAGCGGATTCAGAGGAAGACTTGACTCAGTTTGGTGGAAAGAAACTTATTTCTATCAGTAAACAGTTGGAGGGAGAGGAAGAGTGTGAGATGGAATAAATTGCATGCAATACAGTGCCCAGTCATTTGAACAGTTTCTGACACTTACTGGCTGTGTGATTCTAGACAAAACCCCTAACATCTATATCTCTTGGTTTTCCTCTCTGAATAATAGAGATATTAAAATCTAGCTTGTGGAATCAAAGCACCCAAAAGGAATAGTGTGTGTGTGTGTTCAGGGATGCTTATTACACCATTGTCTGTCATGGGGTAGGAGCTGAGATAGCAAGGTGAGTGCCCAGCAGAAGGGGAGTGGGTGTAATCCCAGCTGAACCTCTATTCTATAGTGTGGAAGGCTGTGCTACCATTCAAAAAATATGCACCAGTTGACCTGGAGAGAGGGGTTTCTAATGCAGAGAAGGGTGTAAAATATGATCCCATTTCACAAAAACAAGAGTAGAGGTACATTTATATATGACGATATATGACCCTTGAGGATGGCATGTGGAGGACAGACTTCAGGTTATTAGTACTGGTAGCCTGGGCTTTGGAGAGATGTATTGCAAGGCAAAGTCAGAAAGTAGGAGGAAAGGAGAGATGTGGGAGACAGAAATAAGTAAAAGGGGAAAAGTGAATTAAGGTGTCCATAAGCAAAACAGCGTGTTTGTTACAGAATTTGCATGCATATATGCACAGAGAGATGGATGAAAGAATGCTTGATAAAATGTGACTCTCCTAAGTAGGCTGCTAATAATGCCTGTCTTACAGGGTTGTCATGAGGGTCAGATGATGTCATCATATGTCAGGATGAGAGAACTGTCCAAAGTCACATCGTGAGAGGACATGAAAGACTTAAATTCTAGTCTGCCAACATCCAAGTTGATGTTTTTCCTTCACGCTGCCACTGCCTTGCTAAATAATCATGAACCAGACATAGCTCAGTGATTGACTTGTTGAACAAGGGACATTGATTATTAGTCATCCTCTCAGGCTAAGAGCGTGAATCAAAACAGATGACAATCCCCTCACTTTAGGTGGGAGAGTTTCACCCAATCAACCACGAGCACTATAATCATGATGTCAATGCAGCAATCACATTTCAGCTTAAAAATAACTAGGAATGCCCACTTGAAGTAAACATATGACAAGTGTGAAGCTAACAGGTAGTAGCAGTTGGGTGATTTTTGACATAAAGCTGTAGTCAAACACACGGACTCATGCCTGTGAGAGCTAGAATATAGTGGACTTGTGTTAGGTGTTTATTTTGTGCAAAGCATTTTGCATACATTATTTGAATGAACACTACTGAGAACCCCATGTTAGCTTCCCATTTTACAGATCAGGAAACTGAGGCTCAGTGAGGTTGAGTAACTTGCTCAAGGTTTAAAAACAGGTATATGGTGGGATCAGGGTTAAAATCCAGGACTCCAGTACCCACAATTTTAATCCTACACTACAATGGTGCAGCTCCAAATTGGGAGACTTTTCAGGCTTTGTTAATCTAGATTGCTGTGTGTGTCCATAGCGTTTCCAACATTGCTCTTCAAGCCACCTGTGGTAGCTTAATTATGGTATGCCTTTTGATGTGGCTGGAATGTGACATTATTCAATGTATTCATCTGCAATGGAATATGACTTGTAGGTGTAATTTATGCATCCTTTGGTGTGTTATTAATGTGTGCTCTCAAGGGAGATTTAATTTTGGAAATGGTTTTCTGTATCATGGTGAAGACTTGAGAGATAGTGGGAGTGGCATCCCTTGAAATGAAAAGTGCCCTGCTGCTCTCTCAAAGGTCACCAGCGACCCCTGAGATGCCAGACCAGTGGACCAGTCTCATTCTACTTCCTCCTCCACTTCCATGCTGCACAGGACACTGTGACAGTCTCCTCCTCCTACTGTCATCTCTCCTCCTCCCACCTTGGGTCTTCTGGGAATGCGCTTGTCATGGAGACTTAGATGTGTGGAGGCAAATGGGATCTTGGTATAGTCATGACTTCTCATCACTCAGCCAATGCTCAAGCCTCCTTGAGAAAACCTCTTATAAGCTGGTGTCCAACATCGGCTGGGATACCTCTGCTTGTGGGGAACTCACTTCTGCATTTCCTTCCAATGCAGTTGTTCCAACTCTGGGCAGCTATACTGTTGTTCTTTGGCTCAAAATATGGAAAGACACAAAATAAGGAGGATTTAATGCTAATTTTAACTCTTGGGTAGAAGACACTGTGTTTACTCCCTTTCACTTGACAGTCCTTTAAAGAGTTGAAAATAGGAATCGTGAACCTTCTGAATTTTGTTCAAGCAGAGCAGCAAAGCTCCCTTCTACTCTTGTAATTATATCTGAGTATGTTTGAGATTGTCAGTTTTCCTTCTCAATCTTAGAACTGAGAACTGAATACAAGACTCAGGTGAGGCCTGACTAGGAAGTCCTTTAATGGAACTTTGACCTTCTTTGTTCCACACTCTCTACTTCTGTTAATGCAACCTCAAGTTGCTTCCACCCCAGGAAAAGGTAGAGAACAATGTTTGCAGGTACTGAACAGCTGATGACCAAAACTCTCTTCTCCTGCTCAGGCTGCTCCCAAGACATAGCTCTCTCACCCTGTGCTTGTATAATAAAGGTTATTGGACACAATTGCAGACACTTTTCCCCATTATGTCTTTTTTTTTTTTCCTTATAAGTTTTGTTGCATCACCACAGCCCACTGAGGGCTTTGGGATTGGAATTCTCCCATCCGCCTGGTTTGTTGTCCTCTCCTAGTTCAGTGGCATTCACAGATTTGATAAGGAGCTTTCTATGCCTTCATTCAAGTATTTGTAAAATTTGTTTTAACAGGAGAGAGTCAAGGACAAAGCCTTTTCTCAGGCCCCTGGAGAGCTCCTGAACTGACAAGCTGAACAGGAATGAATTAATCAGCAAGCCCTGAGTACGATTCTTGAAGTGGTTATAAGTCCACCTTCCTGAATGTATTATTACCTTAGCTAGAATTTTTCATGTTACCCAAAAGGATATCATAAAAACTTTACTATATACCTTCTTGAAATCCAAATTGTCTGTGCCCAATTTCATTTTCCTGCTTTATGTGATAGTTACACCACACACACACACACACTCGTGCATGTGCAAAAAAAGGAAGAAAGGAAGAAAGAACAAAAGGAATAAGGAAGGAAGAGAAAATCAGATTTCTGCACCAGGATTAGTCTTTACATGGAGACTGTGATTGCTAGAAACCAATAGAAGGTCATGGACAATGCAAAACCATTCCTTTAATTGCTGTGTGATTGCTCAGGAACAACATCTGACATAGCTGTTTAAGTGTTGCCCTCATGTCATTTTAGAAATCTAGAATAGGTTGGCTCATCTCCATTCATCCCTCAAAATTTTTCAGGGACCTGCTCTCTACCTGGCACTGGGCCAGCAGCCAGGGTTCGGAGGAAAGAGAATTCATGGGCCTGCATCGTGATACTCAGTGTCTTCCTTTCTCTCTCATTTCACAACTCCTTCAACATCTCCAGCCAAGGATGAGTGACTCCATGTTCAAGCTCTCCTTTTGCCCAGTGGATGGAGGTCTCGAATTAACATCAGGCTGTCAGTTGGGTGCCTCTTACCTCTCCAGAATCCTGAGCTCTCCTTTCAGTTCAAACGGTATCATCTGGACTGGAAAGACAAAGGTCATTTCCATCATCGCGATTGCATTATCTTATTGATCTAGAAAAGCAGGTTAATTTCTTCTTCATCCTTCTTGCTCTGAGTATAAATTTAAACATTATTTCTGGCTGGGAGCAGTGGTCATGCCTGTAATGCCAGCATTTTGAGGGGCCGATGCTGGTGGATCATTTGAGCCCAGTAGTTCAAGACCAGCTTGGCCAACATAGTGAGACCCCATCTCTACAAAAAGTACAAAAGATTGGCTCAGTGTGGTGGTGTGCGCTGGTAGTCCCAGCTACTGGGGAGGCTGAGGTGAGACGATTGCTTGAGCCCAGGAGGTCAGGCTGCAGTGAGCCATGATTGTGCCACTGCACTCTAGCCTGGGCAACAAAGCAAGACACTGTCTCAAAAATAAATAAAATATGCCAGGCACGGTGGCTCACAGCTGTAATCCCAGCACTTTGGGAGGCTGAGGCTGGCAGATCACGAGGTCAGGAGATCGAGACCATCCTGGCTAACATGGTGAAACCCTGTCTCTGCTAAAAAATACAAAAAAAATTAGCTGGGCGTGGTGGTGGGCACCTGCAGTCCCAGCTACTGGGCAGGCTGAGGCAGGAGAATGGTGTGAACCCAGGAGGTGGAGCTTGCAGTGAGCCAAGATTGCACCACTGCACCTCCAGCCTTGGTGGCAGAGCAAGATTCTGTACCCCCCACAAAAAAAAATAAAATAAAAGACAAATAAATAAATAAGATAAAATAAAATAAAATTCATTTTCTCCAGATCTCATTCTACTCTGGGCTGCGGCCCTTCTGGCTAGTGTATTTGGATTCTTTTATTTGCAGTGATAGAGAACCAAACGCAAACTAGCTAAAGCAAAACAGGTAATTAATTGGCTCTCATAACTGAAAAGTCTGAGGACAGACCAATCTTCAGAAATTGTCTTGTTCAGGGATGCACACATCAGCATCAGCAACCGATCATTCATCCTATTTATCTGTTCTCCTTGGCTTTATTCTTAGAGAGCATCTTTGGCCTCTAAGAAGCCCTAGGCTTATATTCTTCACTGCTGTAGAGCACGAAAGAAAAACCTCCTTCCAGAGCCTGTAAGTGAAAGTTCCAGGGTTAGCACTGATTGGAGCCTTGGCTTGGGTCACATGCCTGCTCCTAAACCAAGCACTCTTGCAAGGCAGCGCTAAGCTCTGATTGGCCAGGAAGAGTCACATGTCCACTCCTGGAGCTGGGGTAAGGGCCAGCTCCACTTGAACTGAGTATGGCAGGTTTCCAGAGGATCATTTGGGGACTGCTGCTGAAAGAAAGACAATAAATGCTGAGTTGCAAAAACAAAAACAAAAAACAAAAAAACATAGAAGAGCACCTCAGTGCTTGTAAGGTATCTGACATAGAGTAGTTATTCCATAAATCTCTGGTGAATGATTTAAAAACTACTGGCATCCACGATATGCTTCTTCCATGCCCATCTTTCGCTAATGTTTTTACCAATGGTGCCAAAGTTGATGCTTGTGGTTGTCTACAGAAGAGCCATTTTCCCTTTCTCTCTTATAAATAAAACCTGATTTAGATGAGATATTAAGGGCTCTGCACATCAGGGAAGAGGATGCCTGGGGGAAAACCAGAGCAATCTGAACTCATGGTTCTCAAACTTCAGTGATCTCAGACACACCTCGAGGGCTCATTATAACACAAATTGCTTCCCAGCACAGGGGTCATGTTTTGCAAATCATGTTCTAGAGAGACCACTCTTGTGCAAGGATGGAGGACAGCTAGAAGGTGGAGAGGGTCTTAAGTGGGAAAACCAGATAAGAGGCCATCATCACAAGGTTCAAAGTGAGGGAAAAGAGAAGCAAACCGGAATACTGGCCATGGCATGAACTGAGCACCATGTGGAAGATCCCTGTGTTAGAGACAGGGGCAGTTAGACTTGTCAAAGGATTAGCTATGGAAACTGAGAAAGGAAACAAAGATGACCCCCAAATGTCCACCTTGGGTAAAGGGGAATGGAGAAGTTCACAGAAATAGGGAGCAGAGAGGGAAGAGAACTTTCCATAGAGGTGAGCTCAACTCTGTATATATAGTATGAGTGGTGCTGGCAGCTACATCAGTGGAGTTGTCCAGTGGACACTTGGATAAGTGGAGGAGAGTATTAGTTTGTTCTGATGCTGCTAATAAAGACATGCCCAGGACTGGGTAATTTATAAAGGAAAGAGGTTTAATTGACTCACAGTTCCACATGACTGGGGAGGCCTCTCAATCATGGCAGAAGGTGAAGGGGAAGCAAGACACATCTTACATGGCAGCAGGCAAGAGAGAGCTTGTGCAGGGGAACTCCCATTTATAAAACATCAGATCTCATGAGACTTGTTCACTATCATGAGAACAGTATGGGGGAAACCATCCCCATGATTCAATTATCTCCACCTGGCTCCCTCCTTGACATGTGGGGATTATTAAACTTCAAGGTGAGATTTGGATGGGGACACAGCCACACCATATCAAGGAGAGAGGCCCAGGTCAGATAGATAGATGTAGTGCCAGCAGCCTGTAAATAGCCACTGGGAGGCAGAGATGTTTGAAAGACCAAGAAAGGGGTGAAAAGAAAGAAGAGGACACAGAACAAAGCAGCAGTGGTTAAGCAGCAATAAAGCAAACCGTAGAGTGTATATTGTGCCTATGAGGATGGCTTCAGCTACAAGCAGCAGAAAACAAGTTCTGAATGGGCTTGAACAATAAGGCACAGTCATTGCCTCCCATGCTAAGTCCGTGGGCTGGGGTTTGCAGGGTTGGCTGATTTCATGTCTCTATGCCACCATCAAGGATCCAGGTGCTTTCCAGATTTTTTGCTCAGTGAGCTGACTTAGTCCTGCTTGTTCCCCTCACAGCTGCAAGATGGCTTTAGCAGTTCCAGGTATCATATCAGACATGAAAATCTCCAGCGGGGAGAAAGCACCATCTCCTCCTGGGTTCTCTTCTTTAATACTGAGAGATCCTTTCCAGAAGCCTGCAGCAGACTTCCCTCATTGCATGTGCCCATCCTAATCTCATCACTGGTAAGCGGAGTGGGAATTCCATGTAGTATTCTCCAAGAGTGGCCACAGACCAGTGGTACCAGCAGCACCTGGGGACTCTGTAGGAATGAGAATTCTCTGGCCCCACCCCAGACACACTGAATCAGAGTTGCTGGGGTTGGGGGTTTCTAGCTGATTCTGGTGCAGGCTAAAGTTTGGGAACCTCTGCCCTGGAAAAGTCAAACAAGCCAACAAACAAAAAAGCCTGAATTGGTTGGTGCTAATATGTCTCGGCTAAGAAAAGCTCAGCAATAGCCCTTATGCAGTCACAAAATAAAACCCCACTTTTCTTCACGAGGCTTTCTTGGCCATAGCCTATCTTTTAGCTCCAGCCTCCCCCATATCCCTGGCATCTCTTTTTCCCTGGCTGTGTAGAACCTTGATTTCATGGATTTATGCCTTTGCTAGAGTTCTGGCCCATCCTGTTCATCCACTTATCCTTCAAGGTGAATCTTTCCTGAGAACTCCACCCTGACTCCCTGCAACAGGAACCAGGGATCTTCCCCTCTCCTGTGAAACGCTTAAATGGCCAAACCACATACTGCATCATCGTGATATGTCTCTCTGTCTGGGACTCAGCTTCTGGGGGCAGAAACACCTGCTCTTCTCCTCATAACCCAGCTCCTAGGGCAGTGCCCAGCACTAAGCTAGCCCATACTGGAGGTTACTTGAATGAATGAAGTTCCCCTAGAAATAATGTCTTTCATCTGTGTACCGTTCACCCTCCTGAGAATAAAAAGCCCTATACAAACAGTGGCTCATAAATAAGGCATCCGAATGGCCACCAAACACCTAAACTTATGTCAGGAATTCCAAGGCCAAGAGCTTAATTGTGAACATCAGAAAAAACAGTATTTGATCCTGGCTCTGCTTGGTTACTAGCTGTGCAACCTTGGGCCAATTGTCTAATTTTGCTAAGTATTGCTATTCTCATCTGTAAGTTGGGAATATTAATAGCATCCAAATCAGTCTTATGATAATGTGAGTTGAGGCGCTGATATGGTTTGGCTGTGTCCCCACCCAAATCTCACCTTGAATTCCCTTGTGTTGTGGGAGGGGCCAGGTGGGAGGTGACTGAATCATGGGAGCAGGTCTTTCCCATGCTATTCTCGTGATAGTGAATAAGTCTCATGAGATCTGATGGTTTTATAAAGGCGAGTTTCCTTGTGCAAGCTCTCTTCTCTTGTCTCCTGCCATGTGAGACATGCATTTCACCTTCCACCATGATTGTGAGGCCTCCCCAGCCACATGGAACTGTAAGTCCATTAAACCTCTCTCTTTTGTAAATTTCCCAGTCTCGGGTATGTCTTTATCAGCAGTGTGAAAACAGACTAATACTGGCACCATGCTTGCCATATAGTAAGGCTCTAAAAATGCTGGCTCTTATTATTATTGGTTTCTGACAACCGTTCAAGTATTACAAGCAAACAGGTGCGGCGACTTGGTCAGTTCTGGTTTCAGTTGCCTCATTTCTAGGAGGCAATCAGCAGAAGATGATAAGGGGGCTCACATAATGTGGCTAGAGGCTTCTGAAGCTGCCTGATGTAGCCAGTTGGACCCAAATAAGAAATTGCAATGTGCTGCCCAAAGTTGTTCTAGGCAATCTCCTTGTGTGTGTGTGTTAAGGAAGAGAAGGAAAAAGCCACCAAGGAACAAAGACACCTGCTCTATGGAGACCCCTTCTGCCTGCTTGACAAGCTCTTCTTCATCCCTCAAAATGTAATCCAGACATTCTCTCTCTCCAGAAGCTGTCCCTGTGTCCTGAGTGGTCACTCAGCTTCAATGTCTCCTCTGACCCTGGTTCTGACACTTGCTTTAGCCTCATTGCACTGTGTGCCATGGTTGCTGACCCATCTGTCTTCAGCAGTAGACTATGAGCTCCCTGGGCCTAGCCCAAGGCCTGGCACAGAGGAGGGTGCAAAGTTGGTGGTCTTTCTCCTTCTCTAAGGAGTGTTATGTCTCTTTGGAGGAGCCTCAATTGACCTACAAAACAACCACAGCAAGCTTTCAGTATGGTACTTATGACCTCAGCCTGGGCTCAAGGGACCTCGATCCTGTCAGCAGTACCCTGTGGATGATGGGGCTCACAACCTGGGTGGTCAGAGGAGTTGGGCAGCCAAAGGATGAATGCATTTATGGTGGGATAGGAGTCGGCACAGCCAGGAGGAGAGGACAGCCCAAGAGAGGGCAGGGAAGGGACCCCCAGAATGGTGACAGCCTTGGCCTTGTGCCCCAGTGAGGCTGTCCCAGACTCTTATCACAGCCTCAGGACAATCAAGGCACCTATTCCTGCAACATCCCCCAACCCCATCCCACATGGCCAGAGCACAAATCCTAGTTAAAAATCCCCATGGACTTTGTTTACTGGGCTCCAGCTCTGGTTCTGTCATCAGCAGTTTGCATCTCTGATTAGCAACATTCTTATGATTTCTGTCCTACATCAGAAATGTAACGGCAATGTGGCAAGGATGGAGGTGGCCCCCCGCCCCTTCCCGTGTCTGAAAGCTTCCTCAGTGCTCAGTGGTGTTGCTGCTTGGGCATGTTAACTCTTCATCCTACAGGTCTGGACAGGGAGGGTGTGCATACAGAAGGAGGAAGGAGAACCAGGAAGGAGTTTCTTATCATGGCAGATCATAATATACACACCTGAACCTTTTCCTTAATCCTTCATGCCCTACCTCTTCCTTCGTTTTCATTTCTAATACTCATGGCTTACCCAAAATGCCAGAAGTCCATACTGCCATAAAAACCAAGAAAAGGAAACAGAAAAACAAGCCATTTCTTCTTTCTTATTAACTCAACAATCCCATGATCCACTGTATGTGTTTTTAGGGAAAGGATCACAGAGGTCAATCCACGTATCAGTGATCCTGATGTTTCTATCAAATGAATCATTTGAAATGGGATCTTCAGTTTATTTGAGCAGAATCACATCAGCGCTGTTCACAATGAAAAGTGTCTATGCCATGTGTTTGGATGTGAAGAAGTTTTTATCACAGCAAAAGTATAAAGGCTTGTATTACAACCTGGTAATCTCAGTGGCTTCCAGTTTTTGGCTTAGTTGGAGTCAACTTTGCTTAAAGAGAGGAAAACTATGTATAGCCAACCTAATAAATGAAAGTAGCCCAGCCCAGTTTCCAAGGTGGTAAAGCAATACACCCACAAGCCACAAAACCCCACTCTGGGAAAAAATGAGGCAGACTTTTGGCCTATCGTGCTTTTTATCCTTTTCTTTCCACCCCTCTTTCTTTCCCACACACCAGGGGGGTGAAAGACACCACGTCATTTGTACGGATCAAGCTCTCTTCTTGTAAGTTTCCAGTTAAACATTCTTTTGTAGCTGACACCTATTAATAATTTAAAGTGCTTGGTCTTTTGAACAATGATCAAAATTAAGCTATTACCCACAGGGGGATATTTACATACAGTTAGTCGGCAGCTGTTTAACAGCCTTTTCCATTCAAGATTTCTTGTGACCCTCTCTATCATTAGTAAGCAGAAGAATATTTGATGATTGTATGATTTTTTTCTTCTGTATATTTGATAAATGACCACTGGGAATCACTTAGGAAGTAAATAAGGTAATTCTTTGTGATTTCTGCAGGCTGCTGAAGTTATGAAAGAAGGGCAATTACTTTTAGATCCATCTACATGCAATTTACTAATAAGCCACAGAAGGCAGAAACATGTAATTAGTAATTACTATAGTATGTAGTGATTCGAGGCTTACCCAGTCAGTCTATGGGCCTATAATCTAGTAGGAGAAAATGAAATGAGTTAGTTCACAGAAGCAAGCCCCAGTATATTTAAAGCAAGTTGCTGACAATAAAACTAACTGATGTTTATAGAGACCATGGCAGTACATTGCGCGTTGCTACATCCAGCCTCTTGCCTGACCCCTACCCCTGGGCTGATGTAAAATAGCCTCCTTGCCTCCATTTTTAATGAGGGCCAGACTCAAAATGTGTTGAGGGGTTTCCTGAGATCACAGGCTAATGAGGGGTGGGCCTGGATCCTGAGCTTCAGGTTGCAGGCCCATTGCTGTCCACAGCATCATAATGTCACCTAGTCATGCTGCCAGATCGGTGACTCACATCCTAGGAGTCAGACATATACAGGACTCAGAAGCCAAAGGTGCATATTTATGATGGAGTTGAAGGCTGTGAAGAGAAGGAAGAAGAATAATGGACATGAGACAAGTGCCTAGTTTTGACGGAGGGACACTGGACATTTAATGCATATTATCTTCTTGACAATAGCTAAGCATTATTGTGCCTATATTACCTCCTATATTTACAGGAGAGGAAATCGAGCTTCAGTGGGGTCACTTGGTCAGGATCTCTCAAAGTGTTAAGTGGCGGAGCTGAACTATGACACTGAGTAATTCTGACTTCAATAGCAGCAATCTCTCTCCCTCACACCTGGTGGGTGTGACTCCTTATTCCAGCAAACTAAGTGTATCTTCATCAAGTATCTCAAAAAGAGTAATTTGGAGCAAATAAGCGAGCTCATAGATAGCAGGATCTTAAAGCTGACTGTTTTGTCCCAGAAATCTCAACTTTAGGAATCTATCCTAAAAAAAAAAGGCAATCCAAAAAAAAAAAAAAAAAAGAAACACTGCAGATAAGAGTTTATATGAAGAGATGTTCAACAAAGATGCTATTTATAACAACAAAACCTGGGAAAAGAATTCAAACACCCAGTAACACAGTAGTAGAGAATTAAGTTATAGTTATAACTATATGATGGAATATTAGGCAACTGTGAACAATAATATCAATGAAGTGTTTGTAATAACACTGAAGAGCCTTAAAACCTAACGGAGAGTAAGGCAAGATACAAACGTCTGTGTAAGTTAGAACTCATTTATGTAAACTAATATTTATGGAAAGAGAGATGTAGACCAAAATAGTATATGATAGCTTCATGGGTATCGTATTTTTAAAATAACAGCTTAATTGAGATATAATTCACATACCCAAAAAATCCACCCTTTTAATGTGTAATATTTTTGAGTTTTAGTATATTCACAGAACTGTAAAATCATCACCATTCTCTAGTTTTAGGAAGATCCCAGAATCCTGTACCTATTCACAGTTGTTCTCATTCTTCCCACACTCAGCCCCTGGTGAATACTTATGTATTTTCTGTCTCTATAAATCTGCCTGTTTTGGACATTTCACATAAACGGAATCATACAATATGTGTCCCTTTGTGATGGGCTTTTTTCACTTAGCACGATGTTTTCAAGGTTCATCCATGTTGAAGTGTGTATCAGTACTTCATTCATTTTTAAGGCTGAGTAATATTCCATTGTATGGATATAACACGTTGTGGTTATTCATGCATAAGTTGATAGATATTTGGGTTGTTTCCACTTTTTGGCTATTATGAATATTGTTGATATGAATATTGATGTACAATGTTTTCTAATTCTCTTGGGCATATGCTGAGAAGAGAAATTACTAGTAACTCTATGTTTAATATTTTGAGGAAATGTCAAACTGTTTTCCAAAGTGGCTGCACTATTCTACATTCTCACCAGTAAAAAATGGGGTTACAAGTTGTCTATGCCCTTGCCAAAACTTGTTATTATTTTTCTTTTTCTTTTTAACCATACTAGTGGATATGAAGTGGTATGTCATTATGGTTTTGATTTGCACTTCCTAATACCTTACCACTAGCCATGTTGAGCATCTTTTCATGTGTTTATTGAAAATTTGTGTATTTTGTTTGGATAAATGTCTATTGAAATTCTTTTCTCATTTTTAAATAGGGTTATTTGTCTTTTTGTTATTGCGTTCTATGAGTTCTTTATGTATTCTGGATACTAATGTCTTATCAAATATATTATTTGCAAACATTTTCTTCCATTCTATAGGTTTTGTTCTCACTTTCTTGATAATATTGCTGACAGCACTTAAGTTTTTAATTTTGAGGAAGCTCAATTTATTTATTTTTCATTTTGTTGCTTGTGTTTTTGATGTCATATATAAGAAACAATTGCCTAACCCAAAGTCTTGAAGATTTATTCATATAATTTCCTCTAAGAGTTTTATGGTTTCAGGTTTTACATTTTCATCCATAATTCATTTGCATATAACGTGAGGTGGGAGTCCAACTTCATTCTTTGGCGTGTGGATATTCAGTTATCCTGGCGCTGTTAGTTGATTTAACTGTTATTTCCCAATTGAATTGTCTTGACATATTTGTCAAAAATCGATTGACCATAAATGTAAGGGTTTTATTTATGGATGCTGAACTTTATTCCACTGATCTATATATCTATCCTTGTGCCAATACCACACTGTCTTGAATACTGTAGCTTTGTAGTAATTTTTGAAATCAGGAAGTGAGAGTTCTCCAACTTGTTTCTTCTTTTTAAAGGTCTTTTTGGCTATTTTGAGTTCCTTGCAATTCCATGTGAATTTTAGGATTGGCTTCTCAATTTTCACAAAAATGCAGCTAGAATTTTGATAAGGATTGCACTGAATCTGCAGATCTGTTTGTTAGGGATCGCCATCCTGTGAAGGATATGATGGCGGTGCCTACTTTAAATCCTGCGGCTTATTCTGTGCTGTAAGTGAACGCCTTCTTTGCCTGGAAAGAGCAGTGCAGCTCCATAACGTTAAGGCGGGCTTGGAAATGACATCTCTATGGTGAAGACCTATTAGGGCACAGCAGCTGCTCCCCTGAGGCCAGTTCTTGGCCACTCCATACACCACACGTTTTCTATTACTTAGTCCAGCAAGGCTTTAAATACCTCAGGGCACCCCCTCTGCCATTTCCTGTGGAATACTATTTCACAGTCTAATAGCTCTTCCTAAGGGAATTTCCCTGTTACTTAGCCCACATTTCCTTTTAAGTTTAAGTCCATTGCTTCCTCAGGACCATGCCATTCCAGACTGATCTGCCTACTTGGGATTCCCATATTTCATCGCCCCAGAGGTCATATTATTTCCAGGTTGTTGGGTAAACTCTGAGTTTCATAGACGTGGGCTTGAAGAGGAGGTCTCTGGTGAAGGCTGACATGGGGCTCCCTTAGGCTCATGAAGCCAAGAGCAAATGTGGCCAATCCAGAGAAACCCAGGAGCCAAGGCCCTCCTGGCCAAAAACTGGAAGAGCCCTCTCTGCAGATTAGGGAAGAATGATGTGCCCCAACTTTTGTTGTGTGAAAGCTGGGGTTCTAGTTCTCCCAGGCTCCAGCAAGAAGGGCAAGGTACAGGTGCCAGCCAAGTGCCTGCTTGGTAAGCTCACAGGAAAGCCAGCCCCCAGGGCTGCAGGGGCTTCCCTTATCACTGTAGAGGGAAGACAAGGGAGAATTAGAAGGAACCTCAGAAGAGAGAGGAGCCAGACAGGACAAGGTGAGGAATGAGCATGTCTGAGTGCCTCCTGTGTCCAAGATCGGTGCTGTGTCTTTCCTATATTATCCACTCGATCTCGCATCAGCCCATCTGGTCTGGGGGTCCTAAGGAAGAACTGTGATGCAGAGAGATGAAGCCACCAGCCTGAGCCGTACAGCAAGCAAGGGAGCAGGCCAGGGGCTCAGACCCACATTGATTTTTCTCCGAAATCTACATTATTTCTGGTGCATAGCTGTGCCTCCGTTTCTTCAACTATGAAATGGAGCTGATGCAATATCACAGAGCTGCTTAGAGGACTGAGAAAATCTAGGTAAAAAAAAATCGGGCTGGTTAAACGTTATATCGCTTTCTTCCTTTCTTGCTTCTGGATGGCTGATCAGGGCCATTTCTCTAAGTAATTTAGCAAGGCGAGTGTCTGCGGTCCCTCTCCTCCCCGCCTCCTGCCCTGCACTGGTAAGTTTTATTAGCAAAGAGAGAAGGGATTTTCTATGACCAAATTTCTTCTGAGCTTTTCAGGAGAAATTGATGGAGCTGGCTGGTCCCTTGGCTGGCACTTCATCCTGGTGGGATTTCCTGGCCTGCGGGGGTGAGGGCGAGGGCTATGGAACCTGTCTGGCCTGAGGAGGGAGGGCCGGACAAAGTTATTCTTCTGAAGGGGAAAATCATCATTTGGATTCTTGGGTTTATGTACCCTGGGCGCCAGGGAAGCAGCTGGAATTTGCCTGGAAACCACAGTGCTGTCTGTTTGGTTCTCAATGGGCGGTTGGGGACTGCGTTTGACAGTTTCTCACCTGCCTTTCTGTTCTGCATAATAAGAACCAGTTCTCGGGGCGTCTCAGTGGCTCTGCTGAGCTGGGGCTGCTGCTGGGTTTCCTGAAAAGGGGTTGTGTGTGTGGGGAGACATGTATGTGCCTGTATATGTATGTACATGTGTGGGTATGGGTAAGTATGTGTTTGTGGGCATGTGTGTGTATGGATACGCATGTGCCTGTGTGTGTGAGTGTGCATGTATGTGTTTGTATGTGTCAGTGTGTAGGTGTGTCTGTGTTGGAAGCACAAGTATGTGTGAGTATACATGTGTGTTACCTAAATGTGTTGATGTGCGTGTGTGTGCATGTGCATTTGTTTCTGTTTCCACTAAATGCCAGATGTGGGTCCCAGGAATGCCCATCGAGATGCCCCACTCAACCAGTTACCTCAACCTCCCTTGAAAAGCAGTGGGTGCCCGGGAAGCCACCTACTCTGAGTCTTATTCTGCCTCATACCAGTCATGTGTCCCGCCAAGGCCTTCTGTACCCTCACCCCTGATCCCACAAGTTCACTCACTCATTCTTAAAGGTTCAACTCATGTCATTCTCTACCTCCTCCTGGAAGCCCTCTCATTCTGACTCTCTCCCCATACCTGGGTTGAAATCCTTTCTCTGAGTGTCCATCTGTATCAGCACTGAAATCTACTGTCTTCAGCAGATTCTACCCTGGGTAGCACATGACTCTCTACACATCAGCTTCCCACCCTGGACTGTGAGCTCCCTAGGAAGGGGCTAGTGGTTGGTTCTTCTCTGTCTCCTGGAGTCTAGTACTATAAGACACCTCTTAGATATTCAATTCATGTATGTGGAAGGAGTAAATGAATGAATATTCTTCATATCTCAGTGTTCTCACCTATAAATTGCAGGAACAATATTTCACATGGTTCATTGGAGGATCACATGAGATGAATTATATGAAAGCATGTTTTAAAATGTCAAGCAACACAGCAATGCAGCTCTCTTGGGATCAGGGACACCAAACAGTTGAACAGGATAGCAGGCAACAGGCATGGTACAGAGAGAGCTGACTTTGGAGTCAGAAGGTCCTGTTTCAAATTCTGGCTCCATTACTCAGCATCTGATTGACCCTGGATGAGTTAACTCACTCTCAGCCTTCATTTGTACAACTGTAGGAAAGAGCTATTTATACTTTTCATGTTGGCATAAGAAACAGCCTATGCAAAGGGCATGGCACCCTGTGACATCCAGTGAAACTTGGTTAAGCAGAAGAATACTCACAAGGCCATGGGTGCCGACAGCAGAGGTGGTGTGTGTGCAGGAGGTCCCAGGACCTTGGGCAGTGGGCAATGAGTGTGCCCTAGAGGTGGGAGTCTGGAGCTGGGCTCAGGGAATGGGGCTATGGCAAAGCAGGGGGGGCTCTGTGGGGTGAGTCGGAGTGGGTACAGGATGGAAGAAAATGGCCATGTGAGTTGGGGGTTGTATTCTATTCATTTGCTGTTGCTGCTTAACAAACTCCCAGAAACTGAGTGGCTAAAAACAACATTTGTTTGCAAAATCTCATACTTACAGGTCAGAAGTCTGTACAGGGCTCAGCTGGGCTTCCCAGTAAGGGTCTTATAAGGCTGAAATCAAGGTGTCAGCCAGGCTGCATTCTCCCCTGGAGGCTCAACTTGGGAGAGATTTGCTTCCCTTAGGCTGTTGGAAAAAATCTGCTTGCAACTCTGGAAGTGAGGTTTCCATTTCCTTGCTGGCAGCTGGCCAGGGATCTCTCTCACCTCCTAGAAGCTGCCATCAGATTCTAGTCTCATGTCTGTCTCCCAACAGAGCAGCCAACCTCTTCCTTCCTTCTTACTCACATCCTCTTTCAGGAAGGGCCAAGTCCTTCTAGCAAGCACCTACACTTCCTTTAGCTAGGCCCATCTAGGATTATCTCCCTTTTGAATAACACAAAGTCAACTGGTTTGGGACTTTAATTACACAAAAAAATCCATTCACCTTAGCCAAATATGGCCTAATTGTAGAAGTAAGAGCCCAACATATTCGCAGGTTCTCTTTTAGAAAGAAAGGAGATCATACAGGTCTTGTGTACTGGGGGGGTGGGAGGTAGGGGGAAGCAGCCCTCTTGTAATTCTGTGCACCAGAGGGTTATCAAGCTGTTTTTTCTGGCTGTGCTGTGAGGCTAGAATTCCATGAAGGAGGGTTTTGCTGTCTGTTCTCTACCCACCCTCACAGCTGACAAGACCAGCAGCGGAAGGGTGACCATATGTCCCTGCTGGCTTACATAGTCCTGGTTTACGCCTGGTTTTTGGGTGTGATTATCAACAGTACCCCCTTTCATTCTCATAACTGAACCAGATTGGAGGAAAAAATATATTGTCATTGGGGTTAATGGAAGCAGCTGCTCTCCAGAGTGTCCCAGGCTCTTTGGGGAGAAGGAAGTTGGAGGCATGTAAGCTGTTGTCATGGGCAACATGAGTGAAACTGCCCCAGCCAAGGAAAAACCTTAAAAGGAGAAGGTCCAAGGAGATCAGTGTGTGCAGAGGCTGTGCTTCATGCCAGGTGATTGGGATAAGGTCTCTTATTGTGTTCTAACAACGATCCTATGGGAATGACATTATTGCCCCATATTTATGGCTGACGAAACTGAGGCTCGGAAGATAACATTGAGCAGAGCAAGGTCCCAGTTCACACCACCAGGAAGTGGAAGGCCTGGAATTCAAGTTGACCCACCTGGACCTCTCATCAAGTTAGCTGCACCTGTACCCTCCAGCCACCTCCCTCTCTGGGGCCGTCCCAACAACACACACTGGGTACCCCTCTTATGGTCATCTGTTTCTTTCCACAGTGACATTTTCCCCTGACTGACAACAAGTTACAAGGCTGATTTCTGGGAAGTGATAAACTCATATCGTGGGTGCTGGGATCTGTTCATCCATGGGAAAAATCAACCAGCTTTCAAGCATTTGATTTTCTCCTGAGAGTGATGTCAACAGACTCTCTACCTTAGAATGGGTCTCGAATGCCAGCTCCACAGGAGGGAAAGCTATGTCTTCTTCATCGCTGCCTCCCCAATGTCTAGCAATGCTCTGGTATAGTACATGGTTCTCACTAAATATTTGTTCAAAGGATGAGTGAATAAACCCTTGACTCAGGGGAAACTTAACTTCAATATCAAAGCCAACTTATCTCTTTGAAAACGCATTTCAACAAAGAATCGGGGGTGAGGTCCTGGAGTCCAGTGTGGGGGAATGTGCCCAACAATTTTTCTACCTGTCTGGCTAAACCTTCTGTTCATAAGACCCAGTGCCATGGGAATGCAATAATACACATTTTAAAATAACAGCTAAGACCATTGATTTACATGCATTCCCCATGTCTAAGAGTGAATTAACCGTCAGTGACCACATCTATCAACTCATGGGGGAATAGTGTGAGAGATTTGCACAGTTTTCTGAACAACACACATGGGTGTGCTAAACATAGGTTTCTGCTGACCCAGAAGGCATCACAGTTTGTGTAGTGAGGTCCACATCAAGCTGGAAAACCTGATGGAGGGACTTTGTCTGGGGCAAAGCAATGGTGCTGATTACTCACCTCGCCTTTGCGTTCGCACAGGTTGTCCTGATTGATTGCAGGATGGTGCGGACTAGAGCAGAAGCTTCCTCCTCTGCTGAAGCGGGGTGGCGGGGCATCTGATAGCATTTGCCACAACATCCCTTCTGATTCATCAGGTTGCTTTCTCTGGGAGAGAAATCTGCCTTGAATGGAGTTATCCTAAACTCCGACGCCCAATGCAAGTAAACTCTTCAGAAAGTGGGTGCCGCTCCTGGAAAGCCAGGCTTTTTTGTGCTGGGAAACACACTTTGTGAGAAGAAAATGGCTGCAGAACAAAGACAAGAAAGCAAGAAAAAGAAAAGCTAAAGGAATTCTACTTCCTGTGCTCAGGGGTTGGGGAAGCCTGTGGAAATGCTCTGTAGGTTTCTCGTCGAGGCGATTTTATGTCAGGGCAAATACATAATTGTTGGGCTCTCCTAGGCCCAGGCTTGACGCTATTTCTACCACCTATTAGCTGTGTGACCTTACAGAGAGCTGTAAATGCTCTGAGCTTCTGTTTCCTCATTTGTTAAAGGGGGAAAATAATAACTACCCCAACTCTTAGGGTTTTTATAGGATGGGATCCTGTGCCAAGATGCCTATGCCTCCTCCTTTTGGGGTTTGAATGAATGTTAAAGTCTTCACCCATCAGGCAAACCCAAACAGCAGTAACAAAAGGCATATGTAGTCTGACAAAGACTATTTTAGAAAATGGTTCTAAATACATTTGTAGGAAAAGTCTTATAGAGGTACACAGATGAACACACATTGAACATGTTATTTTTATCAAAAATAACAGAGTTTTACAAAACATTCAGAGATCCAGGACACATAGGGCTTCCCAGCCCACATGGACCACTCTTCTCATGCTGTGGCCATGTGGGCTCAGACCAATGTCTCAGACATAAGTGAGCCAGCCTTCACCTTTAGCAGAGCCAAACTGGGGTGCAACCAGGCCCTGGGCATTTACACCTGAAAATCTTGCCTAGCTTCAGGGAAGAGGCAGCAGTCAGAACAGGTTCAGGCTCTTTGGCAGGGCTCGCCAGCCTCCAGGTTGAAGTCTTTTTCCTCTTGCTTCCTAGTCCCCACTTCTCAGCCAGTTGCTGCTTTCTTCCATTTGTGACCCTCTGCCTTCTTGCCTTGAATGTCCCCTTCCTTCTCTGTACTTGACCTTAGCTCTGCCCTTTGGAATACTGCTGCCTCTGGTCCTTTGAGAACTCTGTCTCCTCCATTCAAGGAGAGGAATCAAATAATCAAGGGGTTGTGTGTCCCTGAAAAGAAAAAAAAAAGCATGTTGCTTTCTGCATTGATCACAGGTCAGCACCTTTTCTTTCATAAGATGGATGAAGCACAGGTCCAAAACCAAAGGAGCCCAGAGAAGCAGCAGGTTCTGTAAAAGGCAGAGTCCCTCCTGGCCCCAGAATATTCACAGCTAAGCCACCAAGATGCCTGCCAAGCAACGGAGTATTTTTTAATCATTATTTCTCTCTTATAGGTGGGGGGAAAGAGTCATTTGTAGCCTGGCAACAGAGATCGGCATGTTCTCCCTTCATGCCAAGCTGTAAACACAGCCTTCCCTCTGTTCAGCCTAATGATGCTAAAAGGCCAGTGACCAGGAGAAATTAGGGTGATGGTGTTGATGGTTGCAGGCGTGGGTGGTGCAAACAGGCCAGTAGTGAGTGTCGCAGAATTGGCACTGTGACCCAGGGGCTTTCAGTAGAACCCAAGAGCTCATTGGAAGAGTCCCAGATGAAGGGCAAGGAGTTCCTTCTAGACACAAGGCTGTTTCCTGCACTGGTCAGGGATGAGGTCCTGGAGTCCAGTGCAGGGGAAGTGTGCTATGGGGAAGGGCTGTAGGTGGTAGGGACAGTCTTGCTGCTCCCTCCTGGGGCACCCTCACTGGTCCCTGCCGATGCCACCTCCTACCTGTCCCCCATGTACCTCTCCTCTGTGTTTTCCTCTGGTCCAGGCACAAACTCTTCTCAGTGTGCCACAGCAGGCTTGAATGGGTCCAAGGAACATGTTCTTGAAACAAAGGAAAAAACAGGCCAGAAACACTAACTCAGGTGAGTGTACCCCCACCCCTCCCCCCACCCCACCCCCTTCCCACCCCCCGCCCCATTGGCATCACCTTAGAAAGATTATATGAAGGAGTGGCTAAGAAGGTGGCCTTGGGGACAGACTGCCTGGATGCAAATCCTAATTACCAGCTGTGTGGCATGGCAAATGACTGACTTCTGTGCCTTGGATTTCTCCTCTGGCAGGTCCAGGTAGAAATAATTTTTATAAAATAGAAGTTCATGTAAAGCACTGAAAACAGAGCCTGGCAATAGGAAATAAGTGCTAAAAGGATGTTAGCCATTATTATTATTGTTGTTATTATTATTGCTATTTCTGAAACATCTGACTGTAGGCAAGTAACGTATTCATTCAGTTTTCTCCTATCAGGGTTGCGGTCAGGTTTAAATGAGCTTATGCACTGGGATCATTGAGTACAGTTCCTGGCACCGAGTTGGTTCTGCAATCACTGTTTTCTATGGGTCCCTTCTGTGGGCTAAGCCTGTGAGAGATGTGGCTGTGCCTGCCTGGCAAACCATTGGCCTCTGTTTGCCACACAGAGCCAGGCACACAGCAGGTGCTCAGGAGGACACGTTGTTAGTCTACGAGTCTCTCCTTACCAGTAACTTACTCAGCACAAAGGGAGAAATAGTGATTTCACAGTGGAGAGGCCAAGCAGACACCACCCTAACCAAGGGGTCAAAGCAAACAGGGCCAACATCAGGACAGACCTGCATGACGTGCCCTGCAATGAGATAACTTAGAAGGACACAGCAGAACTGCAGTGGGATTCCCTCCTGCCACCGACGTGGAGCTCGAACCCCACCTTGAGAAACGACCAGAGGAACTCAACTGAGGCACCTCTTACAAAGCAGCTGACCTGTCCCCAGAAATGTCAAGGTCAAGAAACAAAAAGGAAGACTAAGGAACTGTTCCAGATCAAAAGAGATTAAAAGATGTGACAATGGAATGCAATGCATAAACCTGGACTGAACTTGGACTGGATCCACAACTGGGAAAAAAATGGGTATCACCAACATTATTGGGATAATTGATGAAATTAGAATGTGGGCTGTGGGTTAGATCGTATTATTATATTAATGTTACATTTTCTGATTTTGATCACTGAACTGTGGTTATATAAGACACAGTCGTCTTAGAAAATAAACATTAAAATATTTAGATATATACTGAAATATTTAGGTGTAAAGGGTCAGGAGTTCTCAAATTCTCAAATAGTTCAGAAAATTGTATATACTTATACACACACACACACACCCCACACACACATACACATATAGAGAAAGAGAGAGTCTATTTCATCCCAGCTATTATTTTCTTAAGGTTATCTTCTTTCTTTGAGCTTTTTCAGTTTTGCTTGTTTTTGGACTTTATTTACATGAGATCACACTGGATGTATTCTTCGTATCTTTTCTTTCTTTCTTTCTTTCTTTCTTTCTTTCTTTCTTTCTTTCTTTCTTTCTTTCTTTCTTTCTTCTTTTTTTTTTTTTTTTTTTTGGCAGAATCTCCATCTGTTGCCCAGGCTGGAGTGGAGTGGCACGATCTTGGCTCACTACAGCCTCTGCCTCCCGGGTTCAAGTGATTCTCCTGCCTCAGCTTCCCGAGTAGCTGGGATTACAAGTGTGCACCACCATGCCTGGCTAATTTTTGTATTTTTTAGTAGAGATAGGGTTTCACCATGTTGGCCAGGCTAGTCTCAAACTCCTGACCTCAAGTGATCCTCCTGCCTCAGCCTTCCAAAGAGCTGGGATTACAGGTGTGAGCCAACATGCCCAGCCTATATCTGATTTCTTGGCTCAGCATTACAGTTCTGAGACTCATCTGTGTTTCTGTGTAGAGAAGGGATTTGTTCATTTCCACTGGTATACAGAATTCCATTTTTTCTGTATCCGTTCTCCCATTGGTGTGCATTTTGGTTGTTTTCTCTTTTTAGCTATTATGAATGATGTAGCTGTGAACATTCTTGCACATTTTTGGTGAACAAGGTATACATTTACGCTGTGTTGATTCATACGAGTGGAACTGTTGATTTATATAGTATACATGTGTTCCACTTTAGTAGATACTGACAATTTGTCAAGTTTCTTGGACACTTTATACTTCCACCAGTGGTGTATAAGCATTCTGGTTGCTGCACATCCTTGTCAACACTTGATATTGTCAGCCATTTGAATTTTAGTCATTCAAACAGGTGTATCTTATTGTGGGGTTATATCACATTTCTCTAACGACTATTGAAAGTGAGCCCCTTATGTTTATTGGCCATTTAAATACACTGTTTTCTGAAGTGTTTATTCTAATCCTTTGCCCATTTTTTTCTGTGGGCTATCATTTCTCATTGATTTGGAAGAGTCCTTTATATATTCTAGATAGAAGGCCTTTGTCAGATATGCTTATTGTGAATGCTTTCTCCTGCTCCATGGCTTGGCTTTTCAGGCTTTTCGTAGTGTCTCTTGATAAGGAGAAGGTTTCATTTTTATGAGGTCCACATTTCCATTTTTTTTCATAAACTCATATTCCAACCTTTATTCTCTTAAAGAATTAAACTGAAAAGACTGTGAAGGTGAAGGCTAAAATCAGGAAGATTCCAATTCTAGGTTCCAGCTAGAAGGTCCTACCCAGGAGGTCCCAAGTTAAACTAGCTCACCCTCCTTCCTCCTCAGGCCCTGCCAGGTATGTGTGTGGTATCGTGGAGTGAGGTGCTTAGGGAAGACTGGTGGAGAGAGGAACAACTCCAGGCAGCACATAAAATCTGGGATTCAGAAGTCCAGCCTCCTTCTCCCCTGACTCCCCCATCCCAGGGCTCCAGGACCATTCTTTCCAGGCTCAGGCACAGTCCTCCCAGAGGGATACCTCAGAGTGGACAGAGATGCAGTATTGCAGTTCATGTCTCAGGGTCATCTGCAAAGGTGGGTGCTAAGTGACTTGGGACCCAGAGGATGAGAAATCACTCTACTGGCAGGATGTCAGGGAGAGGTGTAGATCAGTGAAGACTTCACAGAGGAGGGGATTGTTGGGATTGGTTTTTATGGGTGTACAGGAACCTGCCAGATAGACAAGAGGAAGAAGGGCATTCCAGGTAGACAAGCATCCAGGACCCAGAAGGAGTTAAAACACTTGGGGAAACTGTAGGGTCTAAAATAGGGTGTGAGGAAGGGAGCAGCCATGGCCCTCAATTTTCCCATCTGCACGTGGGATGTTTGAATCAGCTGATCTCCCTGCTGACACATTGTTCATTCTTCATTGGTGAGTGTGATGGATGTGGAGAAGACTCAGATATAGGCTCCATCTTTGACGAGGAGAAAGGGAGGGGCACAGATAAGAGATCTGAGAGTTGAGGAGGTAGAATCCTGGAAGGTTGCACTGGACCTAGGCCTTGAAAACTCTCCTATCCCCTCAGCTGTGAAGGATGCGTCAGAGGGTCTTGCTACAGGTCACTAGAAAATTCTGAGCTGGTCCCCAGTGTGGCAGTTAGGGCTTGGGACTCTCTTCCTGATTCAAAGTCCCCAAGTGGGGACCCAGTGGGGCAGGGGAGAAGTCTGGTTCAGGTGGGGGAGCTGACCTCTGCTCCTCAAAGAGGACACACCCATGGACTATGCAGCCCTCCTCACAGGTCGTGCAGAAGACGCTTGTATAAATTGCCTATGCCAAAAGGTAGTATAGGGTTCTAGGTGCTTGGTAGAGAGCTTGCTGCCTGGACCCATTCTGATATGCCTCTCACCCCTGAGCAGGGAGGCTTCGTGCAGGTCAATAAAAGCAAGCCCTCTCTGTAGAAGTCAAATACCAAGTTTTCCTGCAGAACACAGCGCCCCACACCTATGTGTGCAAGTGTGCACAGACACAAATATGCACACGCACCTTGCACAGTGTTTCTTCTCCAAGCTTCCTTAAGCAAATAAAGCTTGAAATTGAAGTTGGAATTGAAGGCTAAAATGCTTTATCACCAACTCACCTCTATCTCCTAATGAAGTTGGGTTTAAAAAATTTTTATACCGTTTTAACAACTCATTTTCAGATATACATCCTCCCAGCAGAGTGTACTTGTCTGTTTTTCTCTCCTTCTTTCTCTCCATGTCTGTGTCTCCCTCTTTCTCTCTGGTTTCCCTCCAGGTAGTGGGGACAGGACCCAGTCCTGTTGCAGATGTGTGATGGGGCTGGCTCATACAGATTTGTGAGAGCACTTCTTTCAGCTCCATAGTCAACAACATAAAGCCCAATAGTGAAAGTGTTTACACCACAGAAATTGGCAAATGCTACGAATCCAGCCTTTTTGTTTTTCTGGGACAGCTCGTTGTATAAATTTTACCACCTGGCTGGGCTGTCACCTATATTACCAGCAGCAGAAGCTGGGCCCTGGTTTGAGGTCTATCCCTCTGTTCCCTTGTGTGTTGCCGCCCCAGATATTTTGGGTTGGCCACAGACCTTTGTGACATCTATTTACTATAACCATAAGTGTCTCATAGGCAGAGGTTGAATATGCGAGGGAGTCTGGGGGTGACTGATCTTATGGAAGCCTGATTCCCCAAACACCTCTCTGAGCCAATTGAGAAATCCAGGCAGATCATAAGTAGTGTAATTTCACACCAGTGCTTTTCAAATATTGACCTAATGGGAATTTGGAGGCAAGGCAGAACTCTGTAGGGCAGAGAATGCAGAGGAAGAAGACAGAGGTTGCATTAGTTTTTGGAACTCTCTTGCCTCGTTTTCAGCTCTGGTCCAAACGTGCACACTCCCCTTAGCAGTCATAAGTTCTGCTGCTAATGCTGTGCTGGCCCTCCTTAGAAGGCAGGGGAGTGAGGATATGTGACTACACAGGCCTACCCTGGGGGCTCTCTCTGCTCCAACTCCCCACTGCTCACAGGTGCTCAAAGTTATCTTCCCAAACCACAGGCACTAGCCCCAGGGAGAAGTCCATGGAACAGTATTTCCTGTATCTTCTTGCATTCCCAGGGATGGCTTAGGGCTCCTCATAGATTGGCACTCTATGCTGTTGTCCAGCTGGCCTGGCTTTCAAACCTCCCTGTAGTCTCAGAATGGCTGGAGTGGTCTTGCCCTCTCTGACTGACCCTTTGAATCAGGCCAGCTGACCTGAGGCTGTACCTTTCCTCCCTACCTCTTACTTCCCACTCCATCTTCCATCTACCCACTCTACCCTGCCGGTCCTCCCTGGATTTGTTGACAATATCAAACATGGCTGAGAAAAGCTCCAATCCTGGCAATCTCAGTCCTGATCAGGCCCTTAGGCTGGGCCATTTGGCAGATGTCCCAAAACTACATTTCCTGACCCCTGTGTCACCTTGGTGCCAGGGAAACAGCCCAGTGTGATGAGGACACCCATAGGAGTGATCAGAACCCAAGGGTCACCGTGGCTTAGATTTCAGCCCCAGGAGCTGACTGTACACTGTGAGCAAGACACCTTACCTCCCTGAATCTTAGTTTTCCCATCTGCAAAGTGGGGCTGCTAATTCACCTCTTTGGTTTACCAAGAGTCTTAGATGAAATTATGGCCTAAAGGTGTCTACTCTTTTCTTAATCAATATTTTGGGGCAGCTCTACGTGCCAGGCCCTGAGCCAGGAGCACAGTAGGTACCTAGCTGATAATTTGCTTTCCTATGTCCCTTCCTCTCATACAAAAAAGACTACAGAGATTGCAAAAAGGAGCTGAAAAAATGACTCTGCATTCTGGTCTTCTGGACAGTGCTGGAGGGGAAATTGTGTCCAGCATAGCTTTGGTGCCACTGCCACAAAAGCAAGTGTACATAACAAAATCTCAGGCCAGCACTGTTAGGCAAGGCATCCCTTGGGTGGCCCAAGCCTCTGGTCTCAGCAGCCAGACACTGGGTTGCAATAAGGCAGGGAAAACAACCTCAAATTCCTTGAAAGTCTAAACCCTCAGCCAGTGCTTTACCAGCAGGTTAAGATCTGGCCCAAGTTCAGAATGGACAGTCTAGGCAGGTTCCTGGGCTTGAAGGCTTGAGGGTGGGGCCTGGTGGGGCAGAAGATAGGTGAGCAGGGTAGTGGTGAATGAAACATATCAGCGTCACTCATGGGGTTTCTAAACAGCCCTGGGGCCCAGGCTGCAAAGGGTGGGAATATCTACTGTGCTCTGTACTTTCTGCACGCTATTTTAGCTAATCATGAGCCCATTTTACAGATAGAAAAACTGAGGATCAGCTGGAGTCAACAGCTTACCTGACATCACCTTGAGTGGCAGAGATGTAATAACTCAAGTTGGCCAGCTCTTCTTCCTATTCAGCACTGAACCGGGCCATTGGCAAGTGTTCCATCAGCACCTTAACAAAAACTGGACTGTGAGCCAAAACCTAGAACTATCCATAGCTAGTGAAACAATGAGAACAGAACCAGCCCTTGTCCCTCCCCACACAGCCTAATTAATGTGTACAGACAAGAACCACTGCACATCACTTATTATTTAACTGGCGTATAAGTACCATCAAAGGTGCCATAGTCATGCGTGGTGGCTCACATCTGTAATCTGAGCACCTTGGGAGGCCGAGGTGGGAGGATCACCTGGGGTCAGGAGTTCGAGACCAGCCTGGCCAACATGGTGAAACACCATCTCTACTAAAAATACAAAAATTAGCTGGGTGTGGTGGCCAGTGCCTGTAGTCCCAGATATTTGGGAGCCTGAGGCAGGAGAATCACTTGAACCTGGGAGGCGGAGGTTGCAGTGAGACGAGATTGCACCGCTGCACTCCAGGCTGGGTGACAAGAGCGAAACTTGGTCTCAAAAAAAAAAAAAAAGTCCCCTGCTCCCCAAAGAGCTGAGGTCAAGTCGGTTGGGCTGACAAGAGCTCTTAAGAGAATGGTCCTGGGGCTGGGCTGGTGGAGAGAAAGCCCAGAGGAAGGAATGTGAGGGGACAGTGTGCACAGGCAGGGTTGCTGAGCTCAGAACTAACCAGATCTGGGCTCCGAATTGGAGCACTGTTATCAGGAAGTTGAAACCCCTGTCTCCCAGGCTTTCTGTACCAAGCTGGGCACCAGCATTTTTGTTTAAAGAAAATCACCAGCATGGGCTGCTCCCCAAACCTATCCCCTAATGCACACTCAATCTCAGAGGCAGCCTGGGGCCCCTCTGCCTGGCCCACAGCCTCCTGGGACTGCACAGATTTCCTAGCCCCATCGCCTGCTGATGCTGGCACCACTGGCTGGCAGTGGCTCTAGAACTGGAAATCCCAGGAGGATCCAGGATCTGCAGCCTGAAGACAAAACGTTCTCAGGGCTGTTCCCTAGCAACCCAAGCTGCTCGCAATAGCTCCAGTTTCCACAGCTGACGCCCTTCCATCCATTTGCACTGAGGCGTTTGGTTTTAGGTGCTCCGGGATGCTTCCTAATGTCCCTTCAATGATCCATGAAGCCATTTGCTTATAAAATCTTCCTTCCTCCCTCCTCCCGCCCTCACTCCGCCCTTCTGCCAGCATTTAGTGTAGTGAACCCTCTGCGGCAGAGGCAGCAAACAGAACCCTGGGTGGCTTGTTGAACAAAGCCCTCATTCCATGGTGGCAGCAGCAGCATGGGGTGACGTTCCTTGCGGTGATGCTGCCCGCCGTGGGCTGTGTGGGGAGGGGCAGGAGGGGATTGATGGGATCCAGAAGACAAGAAGCAAAACAAGCCCAGCACCAGGCAGAGGTGGAGGGGAGAGGGGAGGAGGGAGAACCAGGGAGGAGGGAGAGGAGAGGAGAGGAGGAGGGAATGGGGGAGGAGGAGGAAGGAGAGGAGAGGGAAAGGAGGAGGAGAGGCCACTTCATTTATTTATTATGATGCCAGTTGTAGTGTTGGTCTCATGTGTGGGGAGCAGACTGTATTTTATGTTTTAATCCTCCAAGCTGTGTGTGTGGGCTGGGGATAATCACATTGAGAAATGTGTATAATATGCTGAAGGTTCTTTTTGTGGAGAATGGGAATGCTCCAGTGGAATATCTTCCTCATGGCAACCAGTGCCTTTTCCATAAGCCACTCAGAAGGTGCCAGTAATTGGGAGTGCAGTAGAAGTGTGGGGCCAGCCCCCCAGTCTGGCCAAGTCCTCCTCCATTGTAGGGGAGGCCTGGGCATCTGAGGAGCAGGGCTGGCACCTTCCCTTTGCCCCTGCCTGCCCGCTGTTTGGGTGGATGACAGGCAAGATACAAATGGGATGCCTGATTGCTTTCTTGGCCACAGCCTTGGGGCCTGCCGTGGAAGAATGCAGGGAGGAGCTGATAGGCAGGCTGCTAGGAGACAGAGCAGCCATGTGTGCATGCTGTCCTGAGTGGCACACATGCACACATGGGCGTGCACACACTCTCAGGGACACAGGTGTGCACCCCTGCCCTCACACACACACCCTCACACATCTACACAATGCACATGTGCATGTGTACACACACCTTCACACACACAATATACCCACGCGTGCACGTCCACACTTACACCCACTCATACACACACCCATGTGCACATGCACACACTCACACCTTCACACACAATACATAAACAGGCACACACTCAAATGCTCACATTCACATTCATACACACACACATGCACATGCACTCACATACCCACTAACTCACTGTCACAATCACAAACGTACAGAAATCCACATATCTATTGTGCATGTGTATGTACATGCCTTTTCATTCTCTCTCTCTCACACACACACCCTTGTATGTATGCACACACACTATTGCTTGCATGGGCTGACACTTGTGAAGTGATATCAGAAATATTGTTAGTGACATTTTTATTTGGAATTTTAAAAGAAGAAATTGACATCTCCTTCCTTAAAAGGCTACAAGAGTATCTTCAACCCTGACATCTTAAATGTTTATTTTTTAGCACACATGCTTTACTGACTGCACCACTCACTTAATTTAGGCCACATGGCAAGTGTGCAAACTTTCCTTCAGCTCATGCTGAATGCTGATTTGATGACTGTTTACCCAGAAACTGCAGATCCAGTGGAAAAAATAGTCCAAGCTATGGAGATACCAATTAGTCTCTCTTCCCATGGTGGGCCAGCTTCTTCACAGGATGAAATCCATGGGACAGACAGTGAGGTCCTTGGAAACCCCAGCTGTGATGAATAGGCCTTCTGGCTCCCTTGGGGCTCGGCTGGTTATTTTGTAGGACATTGAATTTCTTGGTAAGTTAGAAGAAGTGCTAATGAGCCCTAATGTGGGGCCGAGAGGGCTGGGGGTGGACTCCAGTCTAGGCATCAGCTGGGTCAGCTTCCACTTTTGCCTCTGTGACCCCTGGATCCTCCTTTCCCTTCCTCCATCTCCAGTCTCTGACAACCAAACTGGCACAATTCCACAACCCTGGCATGCTCTTCTCCCCAGGCACTGCCGCCTCGCTCCAGTCCAGACCCTCCTGTCTCTCTCCAGAGAGTCTATGTTGACCCCGAACTTCTGTCCTTTCCTCTGACAACACCCAAACCTTCCATGGGCAGAAGCATTTGAGACAACATATGGCCTACAGGATTCAGCAGGAATTTCTCAGCCTGGTGCTAAGGCTTCTTCTCTGTGGCCAGCCTGTCTAGCATCAACTTCCACTAGTTCTCTGCTGTGCCCTCTTTGCTGATCCAACAGCACTGGTCATTGTTTCCTGAGCTTGCCCTGGTCCCGCACCTTGGCCTACCCACCAGTGGATCCGAGAAGTTTCCACACTCTCCATTAGCTCCCACTGCAGGGAAGAGGGGTCCGTGTACCTGCAGGATGGGGCTCTGCAAGGCCTAATGGCTTTGGCTTCCTGGCTGCTCCGAGTTGCCTCTGGTGGTGTCCCTGTTTGTCCACTTGCTCCAGCCACACTGGCTGCCCTCAAATGCTCCAGGCACACCCCCAGAGCAGGGCCTTTGCACTTGCTCTTCTTAATGCCTGGAAAGTTCTCCACCCGGCTGTCCACATGCTTCACTTCCCAACTTGCTAGGTCATCCCTGAAATGTCACCTCCGTGAGGCCGTGCTTGACCACATCGTTTAAAGTGGCACCCTGCCCCCGGTTCCTGCCCTTCCACATCCTCTTACTCTGCAGCCCTTGTCACCACCTGACCCTGACCCTGACCCACACCCACTGTGCGTGCTACTAGAGAGTGAGCTTCAGGAAGGCAAATGCTGGGGCTGTTTCAGGCACTGCTGTATCTCCTGAACCCGACAGAAACCAGGGACTTAGAAGCTACTCCACTTCCCAGCCCATCTCCAAAACAGCCTATTCTCAAGTCCATCTTAGGCTGGCAAAAGGAGCTGAACGCTTTTTCCTTTGTACTCCAAACATGTGTTGAAGGTTCTTGCTGCATGTTGACCCAGAGAACAAACCCAGATTTCTTTTTTATTGAGCATATTGAACTTCTCATGTACTCTTAAAGTATTTTACATGCATTATCTGATTTGCTGCTCACAAAAAAATGCAATGAAGTTAGATGTGCTAATTAGCCCTCATGTGGGGCCGGGAGGGCTGGGAGTGGGCTCCAACCTAGGCATCAGCTGGGTCAGCTTCCACTTATGCCTCTGTGACCCCTGGATTTGGTGTGTGTGTGGGGGGTCTACGAGGCCTTCTAGAGGTAAAAATAGGTACTATTTTTATCCTTATTTGATAGAAGAGCAAACTGAAGCTCAGAGAGGTAAAATGACTCACCCGGGTCACACAGCCTCTACCTTCCTGCGCCCTTTCTGCTAGACCCCACCACCTGCACTATTTATACCCTCTCTCCCTAGTGGGTGGTGATCTCTGTTTCTTAGCAAGCACCCAGTTTTTTGCAACCAACCTAGGCCATGTCTGAAGTGTGAGTCATAAGCACAAAGGCCCTGCTTGTCGGCCAAGAGAGCATCATCACATTTGACACCCGAGGAGAGACTTCAATCCCACTGAAGAGTGGATTTTCACAGGAGGATCTCTCATCTGGCACTTCCTGACCATGTGACATGGGGCATATTGTTTTACCCTTTGAGCCTCTGTATCCATATCTATAAAATGGGGTTAATATCTACCTCCAAGGTAGTTGTGAAACAGCACAGTTGATTTGTTCCTGCTTACAAATAATCTTTCTGTAAATAATTTATAAATTCCTGACTCAGGGAACTCCAACTCACCAATTGACACTTTATCACCCTCCAGGATTCGTTTTGCTTTACTAGGCAGTCACCCTGCGCTACAGCCCCACGGGTATTTAGCAGGCAAAGAAAAGTGCCATGCCTTTTCCCTAGAAGCTGTCCTATAGCACAGTTGATTTCCCATCCTGGAAGTGGCTGCTGGGTTTGGGGATCCAATCAGAGGATTCCACAACATCCCCAAAGAAGGCTGTGTGGGGTGGTAATGGGGTTGAAATAAAACCCCAACAGAAGTAGGGGGCTCCAGGACCAAATCCAAGCCAGAATGGGAAGGCAGCTGCAGGGAAAGCTTGCCCTGGGGGGCAGGCAAAGGGGCCCCCTCCAACAGGGAGAAGGTAGAGGGCTCAGGGATGAAAGCTGGCGGGAGGTGTATGCCTTCCCAGCCCTGTGCCAGGTTCCCTGGACGTTTCCATGCAGCAGCCTCCCAGCCACTGTAGCGCAAACAAAGCCAGAGGTGCTGCTGCAGACATCACACGGCGACTGGGAAATAGGGGCCGTCTGTACCTTTCAATGCTCTCATCTCATTAATCTTGTACCTCTGCAGTCCTTCTGAAGAGCGCACTCACAGCAGCTCATTTATTACGGCTCTAATAACAGCGGCAGGCATTAAAGCACCAGGCTGCAGAGGAACTGGCCTCTGCAGCTGCAGAAAGCCAATACCTTTTTAAATACATTTACACAGCAATAAATAAAAGCGGTCTCAGTTTACCTCTTTATTAAACTCTATTTGCTCGTTGGAGTTAAGGGTGGCATTTGTGTCTTGCTATTCAAATTTATTCGTACGCGTCTCCTAGGCTGGTCACATTTATTCCATCATGCAATAATGGTGGCTGGAGCTTAAGGGGGCCTTTCATCACCAAGCAGTACTCATTAAGGGCTCTGCTTCAGGCTCCTGGGCTCAATTTGGCCACCATGAAGACCACCCCCATTATCCAGAGAGGCAAACGAAGGCAGAGAACGAGCATGCCTTCATTAGTCTCACTCAGCAACCAGCCGGCTGATGACTGGAGGCTGATGAGACATCAGTGTCCCCCAAACTCTAGTGTGGAGAGATGGCCCCCTAAAGGGGTTGCTGCACTGACACACCCCCTCCCACCCCCTAGCTCCACAGCATTGAACAGTCATGGCATGTTAGCATAGTAAAGACCCTGAGAAAGCAGGGAATCTGTTCAAACTTGTTTTGACCTTGGATCTCCTCTCTCTCTCTCTCTCTCTCCGTCTCAACACCTGGTCTGTTTCAAAGAATCAACATTCTGTATTTTAGTTTGTGCAAAGTGTGGGATTTACCAACCTGGAAAGTTTCCCCCATTTGATGTATCTTGACTATTCCCATCATGGGCAATTTCTTGCTTCCACAGGCTGTTCAGAGATTGAGATTCCACCTGTCTTCCTTTATTAAGGGCTTATCTTCTTTGAGATTCCTGGATTTCCTAAAAAGACCCCAGTGGATGGGCAGGCACAGTTGCTGGCAATATACACATGTCCTGAAGCTCACGGGATGTCTATACTCTTCTGATTTTTGTGCCCAAAGGCCTCAGGGCCTAGGCCACTGTCCTTAGACTCAGGCTAAAGCAAGTGGGTAGTAGGGTGCTGGTTGGTCATGACCAGAAAACCCAGGTGGGGTGGGACTCCCTAGGCAAGTAATGGCCATAGGGTTTTGTGGGCAGCAGAGTAGTAAGAGCCCTAGGATGGTCACTTGAGGGTGCCTGGATATGTGGACCTGGCCACCTGTGGAGACCAGTGGTGTCTTAACCTCCAGCAAGAGCCAGCAGTGAATGAACTGTTCCCCAATTCACCGGGGGAGTTCTTACTCACCAGGGTTCACTGCAATGGCTCACCTGTACTGAGAAAGCAGACATGCCACGAATGCATTACCTCCCATGGGACAGCAGACCTATGAGGCAATAGGACTTCTTCTTCATTTCACGGATGGACAAAGTAGGCACAGAGAAGTTGCATGGCTTGCCCAAGGTCACACAGCTAGTCAGGATTCCAGCTCAGGGAATCCACTCTGATTCCAACTCTCTGCACTCTTGTCTCTCCAGAAGCAGTTTCAGGAACCACCTTGGCACAAACGGCCTCCAGGAGCCTCTGAGGGATTCCTATGTTGGAGAGTGAAGGGTGCTGTGTGGGGTCAGAGTGCTGAAGGGCCCTCAAAGTCCTGCAGCTAGTTCATACCTCCAAATTATACTAAATGGTAGAGTCCTCTTTCCCCAGGATTTTCTACTTCCTGCCCCTTCCCTTCCATTCCTCCCATATCACATTCCCAAGAATGACCTGTCCTGGATGTGGTGGAATGAACAAGGATCAGGAGACCAGCAGGAGAGGATACTGGCCTAAGATTTGTGGATTTCTGGCTGCACCACTCTGAGCCTGTTGGAGTCAGAGCTTGAATCCATTTTTCCTACATTATCCCAAACCTGGTGCTGTGCTCTCTTTTAAAAGAAAGCACAGGGGATGGCCTCAGGCTGGCCTTGAGTCCTGGCTTGGTGACTTACAAGCTGTGCTGTTTCAGGCAGGCCACTTCTCTCTGGGTCTTATTTCCCACATGTGGAGAAAGGCTGAGAGAATGCACACTTCACATACCACACAGCATCTATGTGAGGAGGAGGCACACAGGAGACACCCAGCAAACAGTAGGGGCACAATAAATGCAACAAGTTAGTTCCCTTTCTTCATCTTAGTTTTTGGGCAGCTGGGGCAGGGGAGGGAGTCAGTTCTTTTAAGTTTAGGGAGAGAGGAGGGCAGCCTATCCATTTACTGACAGCATCAAAACCCAGATGTAACCAGGTCATGCCAGCTAAGTGGCTGAGAGTACTGACTGCTAACTGCACAATGAGAGAAGCCAGACTGTCTGCTTACACTTCTTTCCCCAATCCTGGAGCTGTGGGCTGGGAGACACTATTCAATAGCTGCTCAAATTCACTGTCAGTCCCCTTTTCCCGTATGTGTTAGAAATCAAACCCCTGAAGATGGCCGAATAGGAACAGCTCCAGTCTACAGCTCCCAGCGTGAGCGATGCAGAAGATGGGTGATTTCTGCATTTCCAACTGAGGTACTGGGTTCATCTCACTGGGGAGTGCCGGACAGTGGGTGCAGGACAGTGGGTGCAGCGCACCGTGCATGAGCCGAAGCAGGGTGAGGCATCGCCTCCCCTGGGAAGCGCAAGGGGTCAGGGAATTCCCTTTCCTAGTCAAAGAAAGGGGTGACAGACGGCACCTGGAAAATCGGGTCACTCCCACCCGAATACTGAGCTTTTCCAACAGGCTTATCAAACGGCACACCAGGAGATTATATCCTGCACCTGGCTCAGAGGGTCCTACGCCCACGGAGCCTCGCTCATTGCTAGCACAGCAGTCTGAGATCAAACTGCAAGGCGGCAACGAGGCTGGGGGAGGGGCGCCCGCCATTGCTCAGGCTTGAGTAGGCAAACAAAGCCTGGGTGTAAACAAAGCCTGGGAGTAGGTAAACGAATGGGGTGGAGCCCACCAGAGCTCAAGGAGGACTGCCTGCCTCTGTAGGCTCCACCTCTGGGGGCAGGGCACAGACAGACAAAAGACAGCAATAACCTCTGCAGACTTAAATGTCCCTGTCTGACAGCTTTGAAGAGAGTAGTGGTTCTCTCAGCACACAGCTTGAGATCTGAGAACGGGCAGACTGCCTCCTCAAGTGGGTTCCTGACCCCCAAATAGCCTAACTGGGAGGCACCCCCCAGTAGGGGCGGACTGACACCTCACACGGCCAGGTACTCCTCTGAGACAAAACTTCCAGAGGAACAATCAGCCAGCAGCATTTGCGGTTCACCAATATCCACTGTTCTGCAGCCACCGCTGCTGATACCCAGGAAAACAGAGTCTGGAGTGGACCTCCAGCAAACTCCAACAGACCTGCATTTGAGGGTCCTGACTGTTAGAAGGAAAACTAACAAACAGAAAGGATATCCACACCAAAAACCCATCTGTACGTCACCATCATCAAAGACCAAAGGTAGATAAAACCACAAAGATGGGGAAAAAACAGAGCAGAAAAACCAGAAACTCTAAAAATCAGAGCGCCTCTCCTCCTCCAAAGGAACGCAGCTCCTCACTAGCAACTGAACAAAGCTGGATGGAGAATGACTTTGACGAGTTGAAAGAAGAAGGCTTCAGAAGATCAAGCTACTCCGAGCTAAAGGAGGAAGTTCAAACCAATGGCAAAGAAGTTAAAAACTTTGAAAAAAAATTAGACGAATGGGTAACTAGAATAACAAATGCAGAGAAGTCCTTAAAGGACCTGATGGAGCTGAAAACCACAGCATGAGAATTACGTGACCAACGCTCAAGCCTCAGTAACTGATGCGATCAACTGGAAGAAAGGGTATCAGTGATGGAAGACGAAATGAATGAAATGAAGCATGAAGAGAAGTTAAGAGAAAAAAGAATAAAAAGAAATGAACAAAGCCTCCAAGAAATATGGGACTATGTGAAAAGACCAAATCTACGTCTAATTGGTGTACCTGAAAGTGATGGGGAGAATGGAACCGAGTTGGAAAACACTCTGCAGGATATTATCCAGGAGAACTTCCCCAATCTAGCAAGGCAGGCCAACATTCAAATTCAGGAAATGCAGAGAATGCCACAAAGATACTCCTCGAGAAGAGCAACTCCAAGACACATAATTGTCAGATTCACTAAAGTTGAAATGAAGGAAAAAATGTTAAGGGCAGCCAGAGAAAAAGGTCGGGTTACCCACAAAGGGAAGCCCATCAGACTAACAGTGGATCTCTCGGCAGAAACTCTATAAGCCAGAAGAGAGTGGGGGCCAATATTCAACATTCTTAAAGAAAAGAATTTTCAACCCAGAATTTCATATCCAGTCAAACTAAGCTTCATAAGTGAAGGAGAAATAAAATCCTCCACAGACAAGCAAATGCTGAGAGATTTTGTCACCATCAGGCCTGCCCTAAATGAGCTCCTTAAGGAAGCACTAAACATGGAAAGGAACAACCGGTACCAGCCACTGCAAAAACATGCCAAATTGTAAAGACCATCAAGGCTAGGAAGACACTGCATCAACTAACGAGCAAAATAACCAGCTAACATCATAATGATAGGATCAAATTCACACATAACAATACTAACCTTAAATGTAAACGGGCTAAATGCTCCAATTAAAAGGCACAGACTGGCAAATTGGATAAAGAGTCAAGACCCATCAGTGTGCTGTATTCAGGAAACCCATCTCACATGCAGAGACACACATAGGCTCAAAATAAAGGGATGGAGGAATATTTACAAAGCAAATGGAAAACAAAAAAAGGCGGGGTTGCAATCCTAGTCTCGGATAAAACAGACTTTAAACCAACAAAGATCAAAAGAGACAAAGAAGGCATTACATAATGGTAAAGGGATCAATTCAACAAGAAGAACTAACTATCCTAAATATATATGCACCCAATACAGGAGCACCCAGATTCATAAAGCAAGTCCTTAATGACCTACAAAGTGACTTAGACTCCCACACAATAATAATGGGAGAATTTAACACCCCACTGTCAACATTAGACAGATCAACAAGACAGAAAGTTAACAAGGATATCCAGGAATTGAACTCAGCTCTGCACCAAGCGGACCTAATAGACATCTACAGAACTCTCCACCCCAAATCAACAGAATATACATTCTTTTCAGCACCACACCACACCTATTCCAAAATTGACCACATAGTTGGAAGTAAAGCACTCCTCAGCAAATGTAAAAGAACAGAAATGATAACAAACTGTCTCTCAGACCACAGTGCAATCAAACTAGAACTCAGGGTTAAGAAACTCACTGAAAACCACTCAACTACACGGAAACTGAACAACCTGCTCCTGAATGACTACTGGGTACATAACGAAATGAAGGCAGAAATAAAGATGTTCTTTGAAACCAACAAGAACAAAGACATAACATACCAGAATCTCTGGGACACATTCAAAGCAGTGTGTAGAGGGAAATTTATAGCACTAAATGCCCACAAGAGAAAGCAGGAAAGACCTAAAATTGACACCCTAACATCACAATTAAAAGAACTAGAGAAGCAAGAGCAAACACATTCAAAAGCTAGCAGAAGGCAAGAAATAACTAAGATCAGAGCAGAACTGAAGGAGATAGAGACACAAAAAACCCTTCAAAAAATCAATGAATCCAGGAGCTGGTTTTTTGAAAAAATCAACAAAATTGATAGACCACTAGCCAGACTAATAAAGAAGAAAATAGAGAAGAATCAAATAGACTCAATAAAAAATGACAAAGGGGATATCACCACTGATCCCACAGAAATACAAACTACCATCAGAGAATACTATAAACACCTCTATGCAAATAAACTAGAAAATCTAGAAGAAATGGATAAATTCCTTGACACATACACCCTCCCAAGACTTAACCAGGAAGAAGTTGAATCTCTGAATAGACCAATAACAAGCTCTGAAATTTAGGCAATAATTAATAGCTTACCAACCAAAAAGAGTCCAGGACCAGAAGGATTCACAGCCGAATTCTACCAGAGGTACAAGGAGGAGCTGGTACCATTCCTTCTGAAATGATTCCAATCAATAGAAAAAGAGGGACTCCTCCCTAACTCATTTTATGAGGCCAGCATCATCCTGATACCAAAGCCTGGCAGAGACACAACAAAAAAAGAGAATTTTAGACCAATATCCTTGATGAACATTGATGCAAAAATCCTCAATAAAATACTAGCAAACTGAATCCAGCAACACATCAAAAAGCTTATCCACCATGATCAAGTGTGCTTCATCCCTGGGATGCAAGGCTGGTTCAACATACGCAAATCAATAAACGTAATCCAGCATATAAACAGAACCAAAGACAAAAACCACATGATTATCACAATAGATGCAGAAAAGGCCTTTGACAAAATTCAACAACCTTCATGCTAAAAACTCTCAATAAATTAGGTATTGATGGGACGTACCTCAAAATAATAAGAGCTATCTATGACAAACCCACAGCCAATATCATACTGAATGGACAAAAACTGGAAGCATTCCCTTTGAAAACTGACACAAGACAGGGATGCCCTCTCTCACCACTCCTATTCAACATAGTGTTGGAAGTTCTGGCCAGGGCAATCAGGCAGGAGAAGGAAATAAAAGGCATTCAATTAGGAAAAGAGGAAGTCAAATTGTCCCTGTTTGCAGATGACATGATTGTATATCTAGAAAACCCCACTGTCTCAGCCCAAAATCTCCTTAAGCTGATAAGCAACTTCAGCAAAGTCTCAGGATACAAAATCAATGTGCAAAAATCACAAGCATTCTTATACACCAATAACAGACAAACAGAGAGCCAAATCAAGAGTGAACTCCCATTCACAATTTCTTCAAAGAGAATAAAACACCTAGAAATCCAACTTACAAGGGATGTGAAGGACCTCTTCATGGAGAACTACAAACCACTGCTCAATGAAATAAAAGAGGATACAAACAAATGGAAGAACATTCCATGCTCATGGGTAGGAAGAATCAATATCGTGAAAATGGCCATACTGCCCAAGGTAATTTGTAGATTCAATGCCATCCCCATCAAGCTACCGATGAGTTTCTTCACAGAATTGGAAAAAACTACTTTAAAGTTCATATGGAACCAAACAAGAGCCCACATTGCCAAGTCAATCCTAAGCCAAAAGAACAAAGCTAGAGGCATCACGCTACCTGACTTCAAACTATACTACAAGGCTACAGTAACCAAAACAGCATGGTACTGGTACCAAAACAGAGATATAGACCAATGGAACAGAACAGAGCCCTCAGAAATAATGCCGCATATCTACAACTATCTGATCTTTGACAAACCTGACAAAAACAAGCAATGGGGAAAGGATTCCCTATTTAATAAACGGTGCTGGGAAAACTGGCTAGCCATATGTAGAAAGCTGAAACTGGATCCCTTCCTTACACCTTATACGAAAATTAATTCGAGATGGATTAAAGACTTAAATGTTAGACCTAAAACCATAAAAACCCTAGAAGAAAACCTAGGCAATACCATTCAGGACATAGGCATGGGCAAGGACTTCATGTCTAAAACACCAAAAGCAATGGCAACAAAAGCCAAAACTGACAAATGGGATCTAATTAAACTAAAGAGCTTCTGCACAGCAAAAGAAACCACCATCAGAGTGAACAGGCAACCTACAGAATGGGAGAAAAATTTTGCAACCTACTCATCTGATAAAGGGCTAATATCCAGAATCTACAATGAACTCCAACAAATTTACAAGAAAAAAACAAACAACCCCATCAACAAGTGGGCAAAGGATATGAACAGACACTTCTCAAAAGAAGACATTTATGCAGCCAAAAAACACATGAAAAAATGCTCATCATCACTGGCCATCAGAGAAATGCAAATCAAAACCACAATGAGATACCATCTCACACCAGTTAGAATGGCGATCATTAAAAAGTCAGGAAACAACAGGTGCTGGAGAGGATGTGGAGAAATAGGAACACTTTTACACTGTTGGTGGGACTATAAACTAGTTCAACCATTGTGGAAGTCAGTGTGGCGATTCCTCAGGGATCTAGAACTAGAAATACCGTTTGACCCAGCCATCCCATTACTGGGTATATACCCAAAGGATTAGAAATCATGCTGCTATAAAGACACATGCACACGTATGTTTATTGTGGCACTATTCACAATAGCAAAGACTTGGAACCAACACAAATGTCCAACAATGATAGACTGGATTAAGAAAATGTGGCACATATACACGATGGAATACTATGCAGCCATTAAAAATGATGAGTTCATGTCCTTTGTAGGGACATGGATGAAGCTGGAAACCATTATTCTCAGCACACTATCACAAGGACAAAAAACCAAACACCGCATGTTCTCACTCATAGGTGAGAATTGAACAATGAGAACACATGGACACAGGAAGGGGAACATCACACACTGGGGACTGTTGTGGGGTGGCAGGAGGGGGGAGGGATAGCATTAAGAGATATACGTAACGCTAAATGATGAGTTAATGGGTGCAGCACACCAACACGGCACATGTATACATATGTAACAAGCCTGCACGTTGTGCACATGTACCCTAAAACTTAAAGTGTAATAATAATAAAAAATAAATAAAAATAAAGATAAAAAAATAAAAAAATAAAAAAAAAGAAATCAAAGCCCTGCCTTTCCTAGCTGCCCTTGCAGCCACGAGTGGCCGCAGGATCAAGTATTGACCAATGAAATATAAATAAAAAATTTTTTAAAAATCTGCAGGGTTGGGGGTGGGATTCTGGAAAAGATTTTGTGGAGGTAAAGAATTCACTCACCATTTTGATTGTGGTGATGGCTTCATGTGTGCATATGTGTATCAAAACTGATCAAACTGTATACTTTAAATATGTGCAGTTGGTTGTATGTCAATTATATCTCAATGATGCTGTTTTAAAAAACCCTGCCCAGTCTCTGGGGAAGACTGGTTTTCCTAATCAAAGAAAGCTTCAAAGAATGCCTGAAGTCTGGTGGCTCCCTGATAACCAAGAGTAACAAATACATAGGCAAGTTCAAGAGAGTTCCTGAGATGTTGACTCTAACCCAGCCAGAAGTCACCTTCTTGCTATAGGAGGAAAATAAACACCTATTTGTTTGAACCCCTGCAAATGAGGTTTTGGATTCCTTGCAGCCCAAAGCTTTCCTACATTTACTTAGGTGCTCAATCAATATTTGCTGAATAAATGCATCAAGGATTTGATAAACCAATGAGATGAGAGGAAGGAGCAGTCTCTCTGGGCTGGAGTGACCAAGAAGTCTTCTCATTTGGGTCTGGAACTAGAGCTGGCTCTGGCAGGATGGGTGGAATTTGGCTAGCAAGAGAAGGTGCAAGGAAGGGTTCAAGGCAGGGAGGGCAGCAGGAGCCAGGCACCTCTGCCCAGGTAGACCCTCCCTCTGAGGCAGCAGCAGGCGTCCTGCCTCCCTCCATCTTGGCTAATAAGCCAGCCCATAGTTTACTTTCCTCCCCACATTCTTTTTTTTCAGTGGCAGAAAATTACAGCTGACAAGTGGCAATTGATCTCTTCACATTATTTTGAAGCGGTTATATTGAAACAGGAAACAATGCTTCCAGGAAAGAGCCCAATAACAGAGCCGAACACAAAGCTCCCTCTAAGATAGACAGGGGAGGCCAATTTGCACTGCATAGAAACTGACCAAATTTCCTTCTCCTGAAACTACAGTTAATTATTGCCTGGAAATCTTCAAAGATAACTTCTACTTCCGTCCAGGGAATGGAGACCAGGCCCGAGTCCCCAGGTGACCTAAAGAGGGGTGAGGTGCCTTGGGCCTGTCAGCACTCCCAAACAGGGAGCCCTTAAACTCCCACATATCAAGAGGGGATCTATGGACTTGAGTCTGGGCACAGGAAACCAACATGCGCAGAAGGCATTAGGCTATAATTCCCCAAAGTTAGAACAGCTTAGGACCCTTAAAAGAAACAGATTCCTGCAGACCCCAATATTGACTTAAAGATTGTATTTGAACACTACTTAAATTTTTACAAACCAAAGGTAGGAATAAACTTCCTTTGCTTATAGTTTATATATAATGGGAAACAAAAACATCATTCCAGATATAAAAATAAGCCATAAAACCAGCAAAAGCAAATTAACATCAATTTAATGCAAAATATTTAATGCTGCTTTGCTGCACCAAATTTGCACCTGTGACCTGGGTATGATGCCATTGCCACAGAGCCAATCTCTGTGTGTTTTTCATGGTGTGTCACTGTGGCAGTTTGATCAGGGCAATTTCTTGTCACCCCTCTCTTCTGTCTCCTGGAACTTCTGTTCACGTGGCATGCCTGGAGAGGGAGGTTTCAAAGAGCCTGTCTTGACTCTTTCCTCATGAGTCTGCAGCAGCTCATCTGGTGCCAGCATGACTGTAACACAAACAGGACATGAATGTGTAAGGGGACACTTTGGGGGCAAGGTGTCCTTTAGATGAGTGGCTCTCAGACTCCGTAGTACAGTGGAATCACTTGGAGAGACTTTAAAAATGCCCGTGCTCAGCCATACTCCGACCAAGTAAGTTGGAATCTTTTAAAACACTCCCTGGGTAATTCTGAGGGGCAGCCAAGTTGAGAGGGAATGATCTAGATCCATTTCTCAAGCTTAAGCATGTCTCAGAACCCATGGAGAATGTGTTTAAACCCAGAGGGCTGGGCCCCAGCCCCAGAATTTCTGATTGTGTAGTTTTGGGGGTGGGGGAGCATGAACAATTGGCATTTCTCACAGGCTCCCAGGTGATGCTGATGCTGCTGGTCAGATGACCACATTTTGAGAACCATCAACATAAATGATCGGAATAAGCTTATATTCACTTGCTACAGATTATCATAGAAATTAAAGCCTTCGCATTATGAACTCATGGATTCCAGAGAATGCATCTGAGAACCCCAGCATAAAAGTGTCCATGTAGTGACCCTGGAAGGACTCAAATCCCTCCTCTACTTATATTTAACTATGTGGTCTCTGGCAAACCATTTACCACTCTTTGAGCCACAGTCTTTGATGTAGTGAGATGGGTATAACATCCATCTCACAGATAAGCTTAGAAAACGCAGTAAGGTGCAATTGAAAGTCAGACATTGGTAGGTCAGGGAGAAGGCTGGGGTTTTGGTTCCAGCTCCACTGCTTGCTGACTGTGTGGCTTTGGCCACTGTGCTTATTAGCATGGTAAAGATGAAAAAATGGCTAATAACAGCTGGCAGACTTGTTATGAGGCATATATATATATGAAAGCACTTTTTAAACTGCAAAGCACTAAATGGCTTATTTTATAAATTAAGATATATTTCAGAGGTAGTTAGAGAAACCTGTGAACCTGGCTAGAAAGGAACTGTCCACACTTATCCATCTCTTCTCTCCACCTTTAGGGTGGGTTTCCCTAAAGGAGGACCTAACAAGCAGTTTGCTGAGAAGCCCCCTGTGTTTGCAAAGCTGGAAAATGATATGAATCCCAAAGATGGGTGCCAGTAGGTGACCCAAAGAAGGGAGCCTATTTAATCTCCCAGCATTTACTCTCAAAGGAAGCTGTTGGAATGAGCTCCTCTTCACTATCTAGCTTTCAGAGGAAACACAACTTCTAGTTGGCTTACATGGTGTCAGGGCAAAACAAGAATTTTTAAAATAAGGAAAAGTAGAAGGTAGGCAAGGAGAGGGTTACTGGAAGGAGACCACCCTCAAAGGACAGAGATCTTGGCCCCTCGCTTCTCTGCCCACTTGTAGTCCCTGTCCATCTTCGTCCCAGCCGTCAGTCAGGATCATAACAACGGTAACAGCTTTGCTGTCCCAACACCACAAACTCTTTGAAGGCAGCTTTGTGCCTCACCCACTCATGGCCCAGCTCTTTGCTTTGTGCTTGATTTGTAACTGATGCTCATTACAAGTTGAGTGAACGCTTGAATGGATGAAACCAATACAAAATTGTAAAGACATCCCGGCAAGTTAACTCACAGCTCACAATTTTGCTGATGATTCAGCATTAGTAAGACAGCAAAGGGGATGGCATTTTATGTATGAGGAAACCAAGAGGAGGCTTGGAAAACTGAGTAACATGGCAGCATTTGAATTTTGGTCTAAGGGAACAATTTATTATTTACCTTTCTTCAACTAAGTTCCAGGGGTAAAGTGCAGGATGTGCAGGTTTGTTACATAGGTAAATATGTGTCGTGGTGGTTTGCTGCACAGATCAACCCATCGCCTAGATATTAAACTCAGCATCCATTAGCTATTCTTCCTGATGCTCTCTCTCCTGCCATGCCCCCTGCCAGGCCCCAGTGTGTGTTGTTCCCCCACCATGTGTCCATGTGGTCTCATTGTTCAGCTCCCACTTATAAGTGAGAACACATGGTGTTTGGTTTTCTGTTTCTACATTAGTTTGCTGAGGATCACGGCTTCTAGTTCCATCCATGTCCCTGCAAAGGACATGATCTTGTCCTTTTGTATGGCTGCATAGTATTCCATGGTATATATGTACCACATTTTCTTTTTTCCATATTTTATTTATTTATGTATTTACTTACTTATTTTTATTATACTTTAAGTTCTGGGATATATGTGCAGAACATGCAAGTTTGTTACGTAGGTATACATGTGCCATGGTGCTTTGCTGCACCCATCGCCCCATCATCTACACTAGGCATTTCTCCTAATGCTATCCCTCCCCTAATCCCCCACTCCCTGACAGGCCCTGGTGTGTGATGTTCCCCTCCCTGTGTCCATGTGTTCCCACTATTCAACTCCCACTTATGAGTGAGAATATGTGGTGTTTGGTTTTCTGTTCCTGTGTTAGTTTGCTGAGAATGATGGTTTCCAGCTTCATCCATGTCCCTGCAAAGGACATGAACTCATCCTTTTTTTATGGCTGCATAGTATTCCATGGTGTATATTTGCCACATTTTTTTAATCCAATCTATCATTGATGGGCATTTGGGTTGGTTCCAAGTCTTTGCTATTGTGAACAGTGCTGTAATAAACATACGTGTGCATGTGTCTTTATAGTAGAATGATTTACAATCCTTTGGGTATATACCCAGCAATGGGATTGCTAGGTCAAATGATATTTCTGACTCTAGCTCCTTGAGGAATCGCCACACTGTCTTCCACAATGGTTGAACTAATTTACACTCCACCAACAGTGTAAAAGCATTCCTATTTCTCCACATCCTCTCCAGCATCTGTTGTTTCCTGACTTTTTAATGATCACCATTCTGACTGGCATGAGGTGGTATCTTATTGTGGTTTTGATTTGCATTTCTCTAATGACCAGTGATGATAAGCTTTGTTTCATAAGTTTGTTGGTGGCCTAAGTGTCTTCTTTTGAGAAGTGTCTGTTCATATCCTTCACCAACTTTTTGATGGGGTTGTTTGTTTTTTTTCTTGTAAATTTGTTTAAGTTCCTTGTAGATTCTGAATATTAGCACTTTGTCAGACGGATAGATTCCAAAAATTTTCTCCCATCCTGTAGGTACACTCTGAAGACAGTTTATTTTGCTGTGCAGAAGCTCTTTAGTTAAATTAGATCCCATTTGTCAACTTCAACTTTGGCTTTTGTTGCCATTGCTTTTGGTGTTTTAGTCATGAAGTCCTTGCCCATGCCTGTGTCCTGAATGGTATTGCCTAGGTTTCCTTCTAGGGTTTTTATGGTTTTAGGTCTTACATTTAAGTCTTTAATCTATCTTGAATTAATTTTTGTATAAGGTTTAAGGAAGGGGTCCAGTTTCAGTTTTCTTTCTACATATGGCTAGCCAGTTTTCCCAACACCATTTATTAAATAGGGAATCCTTTCCCCATTGCTTGTTTTTGTCAGGTTTGTCAAAGATCAGATGGTTGTAGATGTGTGGTGTTATTTCTAAGGCCTCTGTTCTGTTCCATTGGTCTATATATCTGTTTTGGTATCAGTACCATGCTGTTTTGGTTACTGTAGCCTTGTAGTATAGTTTGAAGTCAGGTAGTGTGATGCCTCCAGCTTTGTTCTTTTTGCTTAGGACTGTCTTGGCTATACAGGCTCCTTTTTGGTTCCATATGAAATTTAAAGTAGTTTTTTCTAATTCTGTGAAGGAAGTCAATGGTAGCTTGATGTGGATAGCATTGAATCTATAAATTACTTTGGGCAGTATGGCTATTTTCATGATACTGATTCTTCCTATCCATGAATATAGAATGTTTTTCCATTTGTTGCCCTCTCTTATTTCCTTGAGCAGTGGTTTGTAGTTCTCCTTGAAGAGGTCCTTCACATCCCTTGTAAGGTGTATTCCTAGGTATTTTATTCTCTTTGTAGCAATTGTGAATGGGAGTTCACTCACAATTTGGCTCTCTGTTTGTCTATTATTGGCGTATAGGAATGCTTGTGGTTTTTGCACACTGATTTTGTATGCTGAAACTTTGCTGAAGTTGCCTATCAGCTTAAGGAGATTTAGGGCTGAGATGATGGAGTTTTCTAATTATACAATCATGTCATCTGCAAACAGAGACAATTTGACTTCCTCTCTTCCTATTTGAATATCCTTTATTTCTTCCTTCTTGCCTGATTGCTCTGGCCAGAACTTCCAATACTATGTTGAATAGGAGTGGTGAGAGAGGGCATCCTTGTCTTGTGCCGGTTTTCAAAGGGAATGCTTCCAGTTTTTGCCCATTCAGTATGATATTGGCTGTGGGTTTGTCATAAATAGCTCTTATTACTTTGAAATACATTCCATCAATACCTAGTTTATTGAGAGTTTTTAGCATCAAGGGGTGTTGAATTTTATCAAAGGCCTTTTCTGTATCTATTGAGATAATCATGTGGTTTTTGTCATTGGTTCTGTTTATGTGTTGGATTATGTTTATTGATTTGCGTATGTTGAGCCAGACTTGCATCCCAGGAATGAAGCTGACTTGATCATGGTGGATACACTTTTTGTGCTGCTGGATTTCAGTTTGCCAGTATTTTATTGAGGATTTTCGTATCGATGTTCATCAGGGATGTTGGCCTGAAATTTTCTTTTTTTGTCATGTCTGTGCCAGGTTTCGGTGTTAGGATGATGCTGGCCTCATAAAATGAGTTAGGGAGGAGTCCCTCTTTTTCTATTATTTGGAATAATTTCAGAAGGAATGGTACCAGCTCCTCTCTGTACCTCTGGTAGAATTTGGCTGTGAATCCATCTGGTCCTGGGCTTTGTTTTTGTTTGGTAGGCTATTAATTACTGCCTCAATTTCAGAACTTCTTATTGGTCTGGTCAGGGATTCGACTTCTTCCTGGTTTAGTCTTAGGAGGGTGTATGTGTCCAGGAATTTATCCATTTCTTCTAGATTTTCTAGTTTATTTGCATAGAGGTGTTTATAGTATTCTCTGATGGTAGTTTTTATTTCTGTGGGATCAGTGGTGATATCCCTTTTATCATTTTTTTACTGTGTCTATTTGATTCTTCTCTCTTCTTCTTTATTAATCTGGCTAGTGGTCTATCTATTTTGTTAATCTTTTCAAAAAACCAGTTCTTGGATTCACTAATTTTTTTTGAAGGGTTTTTCATGTCTCTATCTCCTTCAGTTCTGCTCTGATCTTAGTTATTTCTTGTCATCGGTTAGCTTTTGAATTTGTTTGCTCCTGCTTCTCTAGTTCTTTTAATTGTGATGTTAGGGTGTTGACTTTAGATCTCTCCTGCTTTCTTCTGTGGGCATTTAGTGCTATAAATTTCCATCTACACACTGCTTTAGCTGTGTCCCAGAGATTCTGGTATGTTGTGTCTTTGTTCTTATTGATTTCAAAGAACTTACTCATTTCTGCCTTAATTTTGTTATTTATCCAGTAGTCATTCAGGAGCAGGTTGTTCAGTTTCCATGCAGTTGTGCAGTTTTGAGTGAGTTTCTTAATCCTGAGTTCTAATTTGATTGTACTGTGGTCTGAGAGACTATTTGTTATGATTTCCGTTCTTTTGCATTTGCTGAGGAGTACTTTACTTCCAATTATGTGGTCAATTAAGTGCAATGTGGTGCTGAGAAGAATGTATATTCTGTTGACTTGGGGTGGAGAGTTCTGTAGATGTCTATTAGGTCCACTTGGTCCAGAGCTGAGTTCAAATCCTAAATATCTTTGTTAATTTTCTGTCTCGTTGATCTGTCTAGTATTGACAGTGGGGTGTTAAAGTCTTCCACTATTATTGTGTGAAAGTCTAAGTCTCTTTGTAGGTCACTAAGAACTTTCTTTATGAATCTGGGTGCTCTCGTATTGGGTGCATATATATTTAGGATAGTTAGCTCTTTTTGTTGCGTTGATCCCTTTACCACTGTGTAATGCTCTTCTTTGTCTCTTTTGATCCCTTTACCACTATGTAATGCTCTTCTTTGTCTCTTTTGATCTTTGTTGGTTTAAAGTCTGTTTTATCAGAGACTAGGATTGCAACCCCTGCTTTTTTTTTTTTTTTTTTGCTTTCCATTTGCTTGGTAAATATTCCTCCATCCCTTTATTTTGAGCCATGTGTGTCTTTGCATGTGAGATGGCTATTGTGCTCTTGAATACAGCACACCGATGGGTCTTGACTCTTTATCCAATTTGCTGGTCTGTGTCTTTTAATTGGGGCATTTAGCCTATTTACATTTAAGGTTAATATTGTTATGTGAGATTTGATCCTATCATTATGATGCTAGCTGGTTTTGTTGCCCATTAGTTGATGCTGTTTCTTCATAGTGTCGATGGTCTTTACACTTTGGTATGTTTTTGCAGTGGCTGGTACCAGTTTTTCCTTTCTATAATTAGTGCTTCTTTCAGGAGCTCTTGTAAGGCAGGCCTGGTGGTGACAAAATCTCTCAGCATTTGCTTGTCTGTAAAGGATTTTATTTCTCCTTTGCTTATGAAGCCTTACCCTGGCTGGATATAAAATTCTGGGTTGAAAATTCTTTTCTTTGAGAATGTTGAATATTGGCCCCCACTCTCTTCTGGCTTGTGGGGTTTCTGCCAAGAGATCTGCTGTTAGTCTGATGGGCTTCCCTTTGTGAGTAACCCGACCTTTCTCTCTGGCTGTGCTTAACATTTTTTCCGTTATTTCAACCTCAGTGAATCTGATGATTATGTGTCTTGGGGTTGCTCTTCTTGAGGAATATCTTTGTGCTGTTCCCTATATTTCTTGAATTTGAATGTTGCCCTGTCTTGCTAGATTGGGGAAGTTCTCCTGGATGATATCCTGAAGAGTGTTTTCCAACTTGGTTCCACTCTCCCTGTCACTTTCAGGTACACCAATAAAATGTAGGTTTGGTCTTTGCACATAGTCCCATATTTCTTGGAGGCTTTGTTTGTTCCTTTTCATTCTTTTTTCTCTAATCTTGTCTTCACACTTTATTTCATTAAGTTGATCTGCAATCTCTGGTATATTTTCTTCCGCTTGATTGATTCAGATATTCATACTTGTGTATGCTTCACGGAGTTCTCATACTGTGTTTTTCAGCTCCTTCGGGTCGTTTATGTTCTTCTCTAAAATGGTTATTCTAGTTAGAAATTCCTCTAACCTTTTTTCAAGGTTCTTAACTTCCTTGCATTGGGTTAGAACATGCTCCTTTAGCTCGGAGGAGTTTGTTATTACCCACCTTCTGAAGCCTACTTCTGTCAATTCGTCAAACTCATCCTCCACCCAGTTTCGTTACCTTGCTGGCGAGGAGTTGTGATTCTTTGGAGGAGAAAAGCATTCCGGTTTTTGGAAGTTTCAGCCTTTTATGCTGGTTTTTCCTCATCTTCGTGGATTTATCTACCTTTGGTTTTTGGTGTTGGTAACCTTCGGATGGGGTTTCTGTGTGGATGTCTTTTTGGTTGATGTTGCTGCTATTCCTTTCTGTTTGTTAGTTTTCCTTCTAACAGTCAAGCCCCTCTGCTGCAGGTCTGCTGGAGTTAGCTGGAGGTCCACATGAGGCCCTGTTTGCCTGGGTATCACCAGTGGAGGCTCAGTTGGAAATGCAGAAATCACCTGCCTTCTGTGTTGATCTCACTGGGAGCTGGAGACCAGAACTGTTCCTACTCAGTCATCTTGCCAGCCACCTATATGTACCACATTTTCTTTTTCCAACCTACCATTGATGGGCATTTGGGTTGATTTCATGTCTTTGCTATTGTGAACAGTGCTGCAATCAACATACACACGCATGTATCTTTATAATAGAATGAGTTATATTTCTTTGGGTATATGCCCAGTGATAGGAATGCTGGGTCAAATGGTATTTCTGCTACTAGATCTTTCTGGAATTGCCACACTGTCTTCCATGATGGTTGAACTAATTTACAGTCCCACCAGTAGTGTAAAAGCTTTCTTTTTTCTCTGCAACCTTGCCAGCATCTGTTGTTTCTTGACTTTTTAGTAATCACCATTCTAACTGGTGTGAGATAGTATCTCATTGTGGTTTTGATTTGCATTTCTGTAATGATCAGTGATGAGCTTTTTTCATGTTTGTTGGCTGTATGAATGTCTTCTTTTGAGAAGTGTCTGTTCATGTCATTTGCCCACTTTTTTATGGGGTTGTTTATTTCTTGTAAATTTTGTTTTAAGTTTAAGGGAACAATTCAAAGTGTTTGCAAGAACTGATGGATTTTGAATTAGTTATAACCTTTGAGGGAAAAAAAGAGAAAAGATCTTGATGTCACTTTGGACAACTCACAACTCAATGAAAAAGCCAGAACACAGTGGCCAATTTCATAATTAAAATGTTCAGCCTGATTGAGGAAGGGAGAAAGGAGATGGAAATTATTTTAACATCAGCATGACAAGTCCATTGAGAGAGGGACTCTGATCATCTCCTCCTAAAGATACCGGGACCCAAACCAAAAGGGGAGAGAGTCAAGTCCCAGGTTTGTGAACAGCAGCAGGTTCAAAGAGTTTCCCCCTTTTTAGAAAACTGAGAAATAACAGCTGGGAACAGAGGGGAATCCGAATCAGGAACTCCCATTTATCTTATTCCATTGGGCAGAAGCCAACAGTCACTCAGCATGAAAACCCTAAAATTTAAGGCAGAAAGAGGGAAATCGCTTTTTCTGGGCTATGTCTAATTAACCCTTGGAGCAACATGGCTATTTTGTTTTACTGCAATTTCTCGCTTAAGAAGACTCCAAAATAAAGATTAAATATGGGGTGTTCATGAGTGGTTATTCTCACCAGGATGTAACAGCAGAGGCCATCAATCCTCCTGCCCAAAGAAGCCAACTGGGGCCAACCAGAACATCTCTGCTGCTTGCTAAGGGAATGAGTTTGTTTTCTGGAGCTGCTGCCTATGATTGCAGTGGAGAAAGATGATCTGAAAAGTCAGCCGTGAATTTATTGCTGCCCATTCTCCAAGGTAAATAAGAGTTTCCTTTGTCTGGTGTATCCTGACTGTTGACCCTGAAGCTCCCAAAACTAGACCTTGTAAGTAGACACTCACTTTCTTAAGGTTGTCTTTCTGTCTTTCTTGAGGTTTAAGGAAGAGTTTCTTAAATTGTTGGAAAAGCTATTTGAAGAAAAAAAGGAAAGAAAAGAAAGAAATCCTTAGCCTGCAGGTGATCAATTACCCTGGACGAAAACCCATTTGAAAGTCTTCTCAAATAAGCTGTGGAGCTGGTTTGAATGCTTAAACAGACATGACAGCCCAACTTTCCGGTGAAAGATCTGCTTTGGCTCCTAGTATAAATAGCTGCATTAGCACCACAGGCAGAGAATAACACAATCTCCACCTTGAATATGCCAAATGTCCTCATTATTCAAAAGGCATGCAAACTGGCCAGGTGCCCTGTTTAAATGAAGAGACACTGTGCAAGCTACATGAGAGTCAATGACAGGCACTCTTCAGTTTAAGCACGTTAGTTTTACAAAATGTGTAATTTTCAGATGTGATAAGGCATGGAACTATTTATAAGGCTTATTGGGACAAAATGATCTTAAAGACCTCTTCTACCCTTAGTATTAGCCCATGATTGTTTGGACTTCAGGCTATGTGTATCATGTATCAGAAAGTGGCCTCTACTGGTGAGGTATGATATTGCAGCCCAGCTCAAGTAGTCGTGGTAATTACAGCTAGCTTGTAAAGGGGAGTACTTCATATGATATCAAAATATTTGGTTGAGAATAAAAAGTAAACGCCAAAAAGTCTATGCTGAAACAATCCTTAAATGAGAGATATGCTAAGGTCTGTGGAGTTCTGAAAAGGTGGCAAAACATAAACAGCACACCATGACTCAACTTATCACAACTTCCCACACACCAGAGAGAGTAAATGCTGATACAAACACTTAAAATATCTTTGATTCAGTATTTTGAGATATGCACCATATCTGATTTTGTAATGAAAGCCAATGGAAAAGTGATTTATTTGGCTATATTCTTATACAACCAACTTAAAAATGTTTCTGTTGCATGTAACAATCACACTATGTCTTCTGAGTTTTAAAGAGCACACAGCTGGTTTCCAAAGAAAAAAGGCTGACCTGTCAAGATACTTTAAAACCTTGAGTCAGAAGGATGAGGTGTGATGCACAGAAACAACATATCAGAGTTGGGAGGACCTTAGAAGGCCGTCTCACTCAATTTCCTCATTGTACAGATGGAGAAACTGAGGGCCAGAGAGGGGTGGTAATGTTCCAAGAGCCTTTCAGTGAGAGGTTAACCTAGTCATTAGTAGATTCAAAGCTTATTGCTACCAGCCCAGGGTTCCTTATAATTTCATAGCCCAGCTCCTGGATTTTCCAATGAAGTTTCTATTTAAATGGACTGTCCTATAATTTCTGGAAGAGATGATTTTCTATTGGAAATTCCATAAGTTCTGCACCAAATTATATTTCCCAGACTGTCCCTACCCCCAGGAAGTGGAAATTGTAGTTATGGGAACATCACATCCCTCTAATCATATTAATCCAGATAACTGTGTCAACATGGCAAGGTGGACGACTAGGCAAACAAAAGCACTAGAAGGAGGAGCCCATCCTAGCCCACTTTCAGCCCTCTTCTAGTAGGAGGAGCAGCTACCGCTGCCCAGCTTCCAGAACCTCTTCTAGGAGAGAACTTCAGTGCCCTTCAAGAGACAATTACAGTCATCTTAAGGAAAGCGGAATTAGAGGGAACGAGCCTCCATGGACTCCAGAGCTTCTCCCCTCCCAACATCCCTTATGTTCCTGATAATGAGTCCTGTCTTTAAACATTACAACCCTCAATTAGCTCATAATTGCTCTCCATGCCGTATGAATTATGCATTGTGCAATGCAAATTCAGGTTCCCTGGCACTGGACAAATCACAAGCTGTTGAAGAAGCTGGAGTAATTACCAAAACAATCCTAGGAGCCCTGGGGAAAATGAACATTATCTGGTCTACAGCCCATTCTTCTGCCTTGTCTTCCCCACTTTCAGCCTGGTTCACCCCCCACCCCACTCAGCTTCAATACATAGTTGCTGGGTTTTGAGCAAGGACTGCATGCCAAACAAGGTGCTAACTGACGTATATCATACTTTAACATTTATAGTCTTCAAAGTCCTGTGGGGCAGGGGCCACAATTCTACATATCACATGACTTCACTTTAAATACCCTCTCCTCCTGGAATTTCTGAGTTTCACCATGCTGGGGCTTGGGTGAGGTTCACCTTTGTGGTATAAATGGAAAAGAGGGATTATTTCAGCAAGTGACAAATGTCAAGACAAAGGATGGCTTAAAACTATTAAAAAAAAGACAAAGAGGGCACTTTAGAAGCATTCAATGTGTTAATTACAAGGCAAATTACATTTATTGAAACTACTTCTTGAAAACCTCCAAGGCAGGGTTAAGATATATATCCAAAAGCATTAAAATCACACTTCCTCCCATATATTCAAATTCATGCATGCAGATTCTCAACAGTCTAACCTTTCATACAATTTTCTCAAAGCAGTTGGTTAATACTGTACATACACACCATACATACACGTGTGTGTAATGATTATATAGAGTTTAATGGTTATATCAACTTTAATGGTAAGAAGAGGACATGTGTCCCTCCATGATTCCTACCTTCCTTCCACCACCATTTCTAGTTTCTAATTTGGAGAGTAACACATCACTGCAATTATGCTCATATCTAGGCTGTTTCAACAAGATATATACAGATTTTTATATCCTAAGCATTTGCAGCAAAAAAAATTATTCTCTACAAGTTCATTCAGCTTAAGGAGGCAAATGTTTCTCTCTAGCCACTATGAGTTTTTGAGATAAATGTATAGCCTTGTCTTCTTTGCCCTGCCCATCGTTCATGAAAATCATGCTATGCTAACTGTTGCTTCAAACTTTTAATTATTGTGAATTTCCTCATTAATTTATTCATCCTTTAAATGTTTATTTAGGACCTATTATGTGACAATATATTGAACTAGGAACTGGTGTTGCCAAAGATAAATAAGGTGTATGTGGTCTTGTTTGTTTGTTTGTTTGTTTGTTTGTTTCTTTATTTCTTTGATGGAGCTTCACTCCTGTCACCCAGGCTGAAGTACAGTGGCACAATCTCGGCTCACTGCAACCTCTGCCTCCTGGGTTTAAGTGATTCTCCTGCCTCACCCTCCTGAGCAGCTGGGATTACAGCACCTGCCACCATGCCTGGCTAAATTTTGTATATTTAGTAGAGACAAGGCTTCACGAAGTTGGCTAGGCTGGTCTTGAACTCCTGACCTCAGGTGATCCACTTGCCTTGGCCTCCCAAAGTGCTGGGATTACAGACGTGAGCCACCGCGCCAGGCTGTGATCTTGTTTCTAAGTAGCTCAGGGTCTAGAGCTTATAGAAGGCCACTTTAGCTTGAACCAATTACATGTGTTTAGGGTTCAGTAAAGTAAAGGACTCTGAAGAGGCAGGCTTGAGTTCAAGTCCTAGAGGCACTATTTAGTAATTATAAGGCTCAGTTTCCTCATCAGTAAAATGGGAGTAAGTGACAGTATAAACATACAGTGTAATGAGCACTCTTTGTATAGCATTTTAGAATCCTTTTATGCTTCTTGAATGTCATGCATGTACCAATTTAAATTTTTACTTTAAAAAATGAACAAGCAGACACCGTTTTGAAATGAATGCTGACATGGAATGGATCCCAGGGACTCCTTTTTCCTCCTGCTCTCTGTCCAAGGACAATTCACCTATCTTGTCTGATTCCCGCTCTCTTCATCAGACAAAAGGTGAAATTGAACAAGTGACCTTTAAGGTAGCTTTGATATTGGAAGGTCAATGATTTTATTTGTAGGTAACAAATCACAAACCCCTCTGGTGGTCTTCCTATGGGCAGGAAATCTGATTGGGGTCAGCCCAGTGGGGTAGAAGAAGGGTTATGATGGGTGGGCGTTGCCTAGCGGCTTGTGAGTGATGTATCCAAAGAGGTGGCAAGAGAGGGAGGCAAGGCCAGGCATTGAGAGACATAAGATCATGTATCAAACTTGACGGGTGAAATAGAGTTTAAATAGAAGAGCAAAATCACAGTTGGTAGCACAGGAGTACAAAAGATTGATGTAGGGTCCAGGCAGATGAAGCCTGTTTCTTCACATGGAAATTTGTTCATTCATTCACTCATCCAACAAATATTTAGTTAGTGCCTATTTAGCCAGTCCATGCTAAGTATTTGGGAAGCAGTATGAACAAATAGGCATGGCCCTTGTCCTCATGAGATTGACAGTCTAGTGAGAGAATCAGACATTTATAAAGAAACTCTTAGGGCTATATAATTATCAGCCCTAATGACTGCTCTCACAGACTATCCCAGGCTGTCCTAGAAGCAGAAAAAGCAGACTAAATCTAGTCTGCAGGCAGGGAACCAGTCCAGGAGGAAGTGACATATAAGCTGTGATATAAAGGATGCACTGGAATTAACTAAGTCAAGTCAAGGGAACAACTTCCATAAATGACATGTCCAGTGAGACTCTATTGTGTATAGATTTGGGTGTTTCCAGCTTAGAATGGAAAGGAGTGGGGAAATTCCTTAAAAGGGCTGATCAAAACAGAAATGTGACACATTTTGTTTTCATCAATAAATGGGCTTATATAAATATACAGAAAGCATCAAAATATTTATCGTATCAAAGTTTCCGAGACTGCTGGAGCAATGACTATTTCTCATGGAGGAAATCAGAGTTGATCCAGGTTCTTGCTTTTCATGAGTGGACTCTCCCAGCATTTTAAGAGCAGCGGGTGAGTCGGTCTTCCAAGCAGAAGCTGGACACGAGCCCTGGTTAACCTTAAATGGACTCTCTCCCCTCATCCTCTCTCCCTGCCCATGACCCTTCCTGAGGGCCACTGTTTCTCTGCTCGCAGAGAGGATAGAAGGCAAGACACGAGGGAGATGCAGATTCATAAACTTTACAATTATTCTAATGCTTTCCAAGTGTGTTAAATAGCAAAGTCATTTCATTAAATGTTCATAAGTGTTATGTGGGTTCAGAATGCAATAATTTTGGCAAATGGATCAAACAGTTATGCAAGCTTTTGTTGTAGGCCTTATCAGAGCCTTTGATATTTTGTAATGTGCACTGTAAGTCTCTAATTGAGGATACAACTTGCAATATTTTCCAAACATATTTGACCACAAAACATGCTTTCCCTGGAATATTTCTTGGGTGTGTTATGTTTCAGAATTCATCTTGGTAAATACTGTTTAAATGAGTAACTGAAAGTTAGGGTTTAAAAGTCAAATGGATTGGGCCAGGCATGGTGGCTCACGCCTGTAATCCCAGCACTTTGGGAGGCTGAGGCAGGTGGATCACGAGGTCAGGAGTTCGAGACCAGCCTGGCCAACAGGCTGAAACCCCATCTCCACTAAAAATACAAAAATTGGCTGGGCATGGAGGTACACACCTGCAATCCCAGCTACTCAGGGAGGCTGAGGCAGGATAATCGCTTGAACCCGGGAGGCGGAGGTTGCAGTGAGCCAAGATCGTGCCACTGCATTCCAGCCTGGGTGACAGAACGAGACTCCATCTCAAAAAAAGAAAAAAAAAAAGAAAAAGGTGAAATGGATCTTAGAGGCCACCTTGTCTAAACTTCCACCTAGAGAGGAATATGAATAAAAACCCACTGAGCTAAATTCATTTCTTTTACATTATTCCAGGCATATCTCTTACACTGTGAATGTTGTTAAGTTGTAGGAGAGAAAAGTGCTGTAAAGGAATAAGGATATCCCTGCATTTTACCAGGTAACTATGGGTAAGTCCCTACTCTGGCCTTCAGTTTCTCTAGAGGTTCAATGAATACCATGCATCTTTGGGTTGCTGAAGATTCAATGCTGTATGAAAAGCACCTGATACTGAGCAAGTTACTAGATTTCCCCCTTCCCACCCTGAAAAATAAGCATCATGCTTTACATAAATACTGCATGCAAATATTCTATATGCAATATGCAAATATTCAAGACATTTTTTACAATGTTGGGTTTTGTCCTTGTCCCTAAGGGAACATATTAATGCAAAGTAAAACACTCTGTTCAATTCTGCTGGTTTAGATGATGGCTCATTCTCCCAGGAAGCTCTATTTTATAACCTGGTGTTAAACTTCATTAAATACAAATACTCTGGAGTTTATCATCCTTTATAGGAACCTAAGCTTCAGAATTACAACATTTCAAAGTTTGGGCTCCCTTATGTTTTAGAAAAGTAGAAATAGACTCTACAAGGGGAAGTGACTTGTGAAAGGTTACCACATGAGCTAGAAGCAATTGCAACCCCAGGTAAGCTAGTCATGTCTAGCCTGGGGCCTTTTCTCCAAATCAGCAACTCCTCATTTCTTTTCTTGGAAACTTAAGCTCCAGCATGCTGAAGTGTTTGCTCTTGAATTCTCTTACCTCTGGAAACCAGGAAACTCGATGGATTTTTGTCTTCTCACTTATTTGAGAAGATGCAGTTTGTTGAAAAGAGAATATATGTCAACAATCTGAGTTGGGTGTTTTATGCCAAACAGAGGATTCAGCGTGTTTTATGCCAAACAGAGGATTCAGCATGTTTTAGTGGGATTTGAACTGGAGTCCAAGCTGGGCACAGTCCTCTCTCTTTCTGCAACTAATGAGAAAGGAAGTAAAACATGCTCGACTGTAGGCAAAAGTCTCCTTTCTGTTGTACACACAGGGGAACAGGTGCCAGGCCATGGCCCTGACAGTTATGCAAATCAGTTGTGCAGATTTTAAAAACAAAAACAAAGGTAAACTGACTCTATCTGAGCATAACATTTTATGCAACATGAGCATAAATAACAAGATTCTTCGCTTCTTACTCTCTGGTACTCACGCAGGTGACAGCTTCGGCAGCACTGTGGGCGGAGCCATAACAGACTGGAGCTTGTGGGTCCGGCTTCTAAAGTTGCTCCTCCTGTGACCTTGGACAAGTCACACTTCCTCCTGTCTGATACCTCATCTGCTCTGTGGGGGATGTAGCTGCTTGCCTTTTTATAAGAATTAAATGAAAGACTGGAACCAAACATTCACTCCAATATCTTATTGCTACTCCAGGGCAGGAACCAGGCTCAGTGCTGTAGATGAATGTGATGGTCCTTTGCCCACAAGGGACCCCCCCACCCCCGCTGTACTGGGCACTCTCACTCCAGATTCTGTAATAGGTGTGCTCATCACGAATCCCAGCAAAGTCCTTGCAAAAGAGCACAGATGTGCAATGCAGGCATTTGCGATTCACTGAGATGAGGTGTTTGTTCGTTCTGGGCCCACATCAGAGACCTGGGTTTTGCAGCCATTGTGTTCTGGGGTCCATGAGCTGAAGAAGGGATTCTGTGAGTGATAGTCTGGTTTGCTTGAGCAAAGATCTGAGAATCTGCCAGGTAAGGTTTCAGACAGATTCCTGAAACTATTTTTAAGAAGAAGCTACTCTAGTAGTAAATGCTAAGTGAGTGTGTCTCCAGTGGGCAGGTCCTGGGATTGGCCTCCAAATGTGACAAGGAGACTTCAAGAGGCTATCAGGGGACATGGTGTTACAGTTAACATAAGCAGTACAGTGTTAGAGGATCTTGAAAGGCCCGGGCCTCCTCACTTCTATGGTGACACCAGAGAAGGCAACCAGGTTTAGACATCTCAGAGATCAAATGGTTCTATAATCACCCCCAAAAGGTGGCTAGAATGTTTTCTTCCAACCTGGAAAGTAAAATCCTAAATTCAGAAAAGACACCCCCCCCACCCCCCACCCCCACCCAGAGGCATCAGAACAGAAGGCTTGGGATGGGCTGTAGATGTCATCTGGACCATGTCTAATGTTCCAGGTGAGGAAACTGAGGAAGGAGGACTTGCAAGAGGACACACAGAGAGTTAGTAGCAGGGCTGGTTCTGAAACCCGACAAGCTGGAGAGAGTCAACCCCTGGAGATTGAGCTCTCTGAACACCAGCCAGTAGGGGGAGCTCCGTCTCACGGGTGGTGCTCAGTGTCTCCTGGCAGGGGACAGAGTGCCCTGGTTAGAAAGTGGGTTGAAGGCGCATCTGTAAATCCAAGGCTGACAGAGGAGGCCCTGTTGTCCTATATTTCTCCTCTGTAAAAGCCCCTGCCCACCCACCCCAACGAGTTCCTCCTGGGTCCCTGGGAACCATGAAAATTGTCCTGTCCAAGTTGAAGGCATAGAAGTGCCTCCTGAAACTTGTGAGTTTGTTACTCTCGGCTGGAACAATGATGGAGCATTACCTGTCTAAGCACTCTCAGGGAGAGCATTGGCAGAGTGGCTTCCGGGTTACGGGGAGGTGGAATTCAGAGTGGGCATAGGAGGGCATTTTTAACCAGAGAAACGTGTCCATTCACCTTTGCAGACATTTACTGAGCACCTACTATGTGCCGGGCACAGGACTTTCACCATCCCAGACAGCTAATCAATGCCACGGCGGACAACCTTCCTTCTGAATGTCAGCCGCCCAATCCTGGGCTTTGTGCTGGCTCTCTTTCTTCCTCACTCTCTTTCTTTCTTTCTTAAGCCACCAACAAAACTCTGACCTCTCCCCACACACACAATGCAGGCAGTCACTCATGCATTAACAACCACCAGGCCCCAAAGGTCGTTTCTATGACAACCCCGGGGTCCTTAATGACCCTGGCAGGCCAATGATTTTGTTTTGTTTGAGAGTGAAGGAATAATAAGTCAGTCCAACTCGCTCGGGCGCTCGCCTCTCTCCCCGTCGCCCCCCTCCGCCGCCTCCGCTGATATACTGTTCATTATCTGGCTGCTGCATCAGCTCCAGAGACGGGGCGGCAGCCAGCTCTGAAAGACAAGAGCCTGGCTGCAGACAAAGAGCTGTAAAGGACCGAGTGTGCCCTGCATCCAGGGCTGCCCGGGGTTCATTAATTCCATTGCCCGCTAGAAAGGAGAGTGGGAGCAAGGGCCCTGGGGTCCTTGGTTCCTAGAGTCCAATGGCACCAGCATGAACCCCAAATCACCGTGCAACTCTTCAGAAAGAAGCGTGTGTAGGGCCCTGTTGGGAGACCTCTCTACCCAGGAGGTGTGCCCAACTCGCCGCCAGCCAGCACAGCTCCCGAAGGCGAGACGTATCATTTTAATGATGGGTTGAACAAGGCAATTAATGTGCAGCCCCACCAGCTTCCATATGGATCATCAGTAACTCGGGAGGCTGGGCCTGATCACCCAGACAAAGGAGGGCAGCATGGCGTCCCAGCTGATTCCCGTCCACTGGCTCCGGTGGGGCGTTGCCCTCTGGGTTCTCCAGTTCCGGATTTCTGGTTCTACCCTGAGAAACTTCCTGGGGAGGAAGCTTTCATTGTCTTCTGATCTTGGGGCAAATAGGCCTCCAGCTTGTCACATTAATTTTCAAACGCGATGTTCGGCAGCGTGGGATTTTGCTAGCAGACACTTGGAATTATTTTTGTTGTGTGTGCACAACTGAAATCCCCTAGAATAAGTCATTATCCTCTTTAAAAAAAAAAAAAATCAGCTCCTACTGGCTGCCTGGTGGCCCAATCAGCTGACTCATTTTCCATCTTTCCCTGAAGTAATTAGCGTTTTCATTTTTCCCAACCTGCCTATTAGATAAACTCCAGGATCCCATTCAGTGGAAGCACATTTTTGTGAGTTGACTTGCCTCAGCCTCTCCCCAAGAAACAAAAGAAGAAATCTGGAGAAAGGCACAAAGAGATGTGTGATTTAGGCTCCTGTTCTCTGACATGGACTGTTTATTAATCAAGGAGATCGATAAAGGGGGGTGTGCTGTGGCCAGGGTAGGGGGGCACCGTGGGTGGACACCAGCATCAGCTGTTGACCCTAGCACAATAATGGAAAAGGGTATTTGGTCATTCAGTAAACAGTTACTGAGCACAAACCCTGGGGTGCAGAAACACAGTGCTGCTTTTAACAGTGGCAGCACCCGCTCATCCCATGCCCTCTCTAGGGTTCATTTCTCCTCTGTTGAGTGAGGGGCTGGCTCTAGATGAGAAGTGGAAAACTCTGGGGTTGCATGGGCCAGGAGACAGTGTCAATGGGGGTGTGCAGTGGGCCTGGGCATGAGGACTTGGGCAGGCTGGAGGGCATTGAAACTGTCTAAAATGGGCAGCCACAGGTCAGCTCCAGCACTTGCTGTGTTCCAGCATGTAAGGGCAGGATGGCCACATCTCCTGAGGGTTTCAAGAGAAGACAGAATTTGGAATTATTAAAACGTGAAATCTGCACATTTTTAGATGTTTTCAAGTAAATCTAATTTTTTAGAAGATTATGCTGGTCAAAGAAACACATTTGGATGAAGCAAGTGGTGCCAGGACCACCAGTTAGTTGCTGTGCTCTAGACTTTTGTGATTTCAAGTGCAGTTGAGTGAGCAGGTATAGCAGCAGCTGCTGGAAGCTTGCGAGGCATGAGGATTCTCAGACCTTGCCCCAGATCCCCTAAATCATAAACTGGATTCTCCCTATGCATGTTAAAGTTTGGGAGGCAATGCAGTGAACACTCAAGGTCTTTGAAATGGGCTGCGACAACTCTAGCATTTTCTCTGAGTACGGATTTGCTCACTGTACCTCCTGTGCACACCTTTCATTGCAATCCAGGTAAGAAAAAAGTCCCATCAGAGTATGAGAGACCAAAGTGTGTGGGCTCAGCCAAGGGGCCCTGGGGGCTTGTCTGTTCGAACCTCTTCCTCAGCAAGGGGAGAATTCAGCTGTCCAGTACAGAGAGCTGTTTATTCTCTTCTCCAGGAATGGGGCTGCTGAGTCTCATCATAAATGTAATATTTTTCCTTTCCTCATTTCCTATAATTTGCAGTCATTGGCACAACTGACCATGATTCTTTCCTGAAATTCCCTCCTCCATTGGGTCCTTCCTCCAATGGTCCCTGAACATTATCCTGGTTTGTAGCCCAATTATTCTAAAGACTTTAGTCTCCTCTTATGTTTCTCCTTCCTTCTCTAACATTCTAAATGCAGGCTGTTCCCAGATCTTCTGCTGTCTTTTTCTGTCTCCATCACAAGAGTGTTCCTCTAAGCACTTGGACTTCCAGATCCACTCTCTTGGCTTCCATCTCTCTGAGAGGCAGTGGTACTTTTCAACTGCTTGGTCCCACTTCAGGCTGAAATAATCAAGAAGGAAAACATCACCCTTGCCCTAGAGCTCATTCTACTCCTGGTTGCATGCTCACTTTTAGTAGCCTCATCACTCAGGTTCCAGACTGGACAACAGCCAGGCATAACAGAAGGAAGTGAAGTCTTTGCCTGGTGCCGACCATTCAGCCTAAGTTTCACGTGGACTACTCTAGGAGTAAGTGATCTACAAATTGACAAGTCAGCAAGTTGATTTTATGAGCTTACCTTGTTTTCAACTCTCTTATTATTAACATTTATTTTCCACCTTTCTCTGGTCCAAATCCAAAAGTTGCCAAATGTAGTTGATCTGACCTCCTGGATCTCTCTTGCCACATGCCACCTCTGTTGCCCTACACTGCATCCTCACCTGCGTTGCTGCAATCACTTCTAGGGTTGAGCCTTTCCAGGGACCTCCAGGTTACTCAGCCCAAGGAATAGTGCTAAATGAAACTCTGCTTGTTTAAAACCACCAATGTGCCCTCATGCCTCCTCAAGGAAGCCCAGAGTCTTCATCTTGACTTTCAAAGCCCTTCACAACATGACCTCAGTGTGTCCTGCATGCTTCTGCATCACACATGCCAGATCCTCCAGACAAGTGAAAGCTGTGAGTTTTCATGCTACCAGCTAGCCCAGGACACTTCCAATAGCTGGAATGTTCTCCTACTATCAAGTTCACCTAAACACCTGCAAGTTGGTTCTGGCTCCCTGAGGCAGCAGATATCTCCACTCCTCTGAGTTCAGTGCTACTTTGTTCCTTCCCCCTGTGTCACATCATGGCTATTGGTATTAGTCAGCTCAGGCTGCTATAACAAAATACCACAGACTGGATGAGTTAAACAACGGGGGTTAATTTTCTCACATCTGGAAGCTGGTAGTCCAAGAACAAGGTTCCAGCCAGTTCGGTGTCTGGTGAGGCTCTCTTCCTGACTTGCAGAGAGTCACCTTCTCACTTTCCTCAGTGCATGCTCAGTTTGGGGTGTGGGGTAGGGAGCACTCTCTGGTGCCTCTTCTTACAAGGACACTAATCCTATGGGATCAGAGCCCCAACTTTATGGCCTCAATTAATTTTATTTACTTCCTTAGAGCCTCCGTCTCCAAATACAGCCACACTGGGGGTTAGGGCTTCAACATATGAATTTGAGGGAAGCATAAACATTCAATCCATAACAGGTATCTTGCATTAGTTGTTTGTGTGTGCATCTTATTTCCCCTTCTAAGTCCTAAGCTTTCCAAGGACAGCATCTGTGTCTTGTATATTCAATGATACCATTCATATAATAGGTACTCAGCAAATATTTGTTGGATGAATTTGCCAACAAAGTCTCCACCACCCTCTTCTGCATCATCTGAACCCCAATAGTCACCTGAACGGCGCTGGGGCTTTTTACTTCAGTGCCTTTCCCATTATGCACCTTCTCTGTTCACCTGGAATGCAGGAGTTAGCTCATCCAATACTTCTTTTAGAAACTCTATCTGATTCTGTCAAGTACATTGAGGGATTCTCATCAGCCTGGTGAGCACCTGCATCTCTGTATTTATTGCTCATATGCAATATATGATCCATCTCTTCAGGGGAGTTCCTTAAGAGCAGAGATTGGGGCTTTTTATTCTTGTGTACCCAGCGCCTGGCATGTTGCTTGACAGCGAATAATAGCACAATTAAATACTCATTGAAAGAAGGAGTGAATAAAAACAGGAAGTTTAAAAAAGATTTTCCTATCATTCCTATAACCTACTTGAAATTGCCTTTTAAAAGCAAATTTATTATAACATTTCAGACAATTACTTTACATGGATGTTCACAAGATATTCTTATTTCAGATCCCATGACAATGGGAAAAATGATTAGTATACAGAGAAGATGAAAGAAGGGAAATTGGAGATGTATATTGAATTTGAAAAGAAAATTTTCCAGTAACAGTAGCTCCTTGCCATTCCTGAGAAATATGTTACAAAACCATCATAAATACTCAAGTTCACTTATTCCAGTGCAGCATGTAGTTTTCATCCAGAAGATTGTGGGTAAAATATATGTGACTCCATCAGCTCCATAACAGTTCTATTAAGAGTAACCATAAAGGATAATATTAACACTTGTGCTAGGCACTCTGCTAAGCCCGATTAACATATTCCCATTTAATGTCCATGACTATCATGAAAGGCCAAAATGATTATTATTCCCATTTTCCAGTTGAAGAAACTGAGATCGGAAGAGGTCAAGTAACTTGCCCAAGAACATGAAGCTTATACATAGCAAGGGTGACCAACCATCTCAGTTTGTCCAGGATATGGAACTTTTGGTGCTAAAAAGTCACCATGTAGGTGACAGAGGATGAGTTAAAAGCCAGTGTCTGATGTCAGATCTTGATCTATTGAATATCTGTTTGGTAAATATTTCAGCTACCATGTTTATAAACTAAGATGAAATTTTTGAAGAGGTCGGTTCAAAAGTACTATATAGCATTGTAAGGTATACAAGTTTACATGCTGAGACTGGAAGTTCCCTGAGGGCAGGGACTCTGTCTTGTTTCTCCTCCTTTATTTCATGGTCCCAATATGAGACCGTGCATAGAGCAAGTGTTTAAGAAGAACTTATTCAATGTGAAGTTCTTTCCCTACCATCAAAAGACAAAAACCCCAACCCATCACTCGGCTCATGTGCCATACTCCATTTCTGTTCTTTCTCTCTCTCGACTTTTCTCCCAATGTGCACACTCAAATTGCTGCTTTTCTCCTCATTATTCCCCCAGGTTCCCCAGCTTCTCAGCTACACTGGAGAACATAGCCCCCAGAGCATGATTCCACCCTCGCTTTGCCCCTTTCCTTTTTAACTCTGTCCTATAAACTCCCTTTCAAGTCCTAGCTTCTGCTTTGCCCTCCCAGACTCCTCTAATGGGGAATTATTTATTTGGTGTGCCCACTCTGGGTGCCAGAAACTTCATGGCAATTGCCAAGTAGCGTGCAGGTCAATACATGATGATGTCTTTGTGTTTTCCCTTATTTAGGACTTTGTGACTGATTAGTCAACATGTCAGACTACTAGTTGTCCAAGATCCATTTCCCCTTCTCCCACTGGATTAGAATGTTTATTAGGGTGCGTGGCTGCTCTGAATCAGGACTGTGCTTCCCAGTCACATTGCATGGCCATGTGACTAAGTCCCGGTCAGTGGGAGGTTAGCAGAAGTGCCTGTCCTGTGATAACTTCCACGTCCTTTCCTTGAGAGACCTGGAGTGCACCCTTTACCTCTTTCTTCACCATTTTCTCTCTCCTGGAACATAAATGCCTTGGACTATGAGAGCAAGGGCCACACTGCAGAGATGGCGAGATAGAGATCTAGAAAGTTCCTGGGTCCCTGACCCAATGGGACCCAATATTGGCCCTTGATTTGCCTGCCCAGACTTTTATATAAAAAATACACAAGCTTTTCTCTTATTTAAGCCACAGTCTTATTTTACCTTCCAGTTAGCTGCAGTTTTAATCTCCACTAAAATAGTTGAGAATGATGGAGGATGCTGCGTGAGATGGAGTATGTGTTCCCTTGTGTTCAATTGCACAGAGGAAACAGAGGCATTGACAGCTCCGGGGTTAAAGTTGTAGAGACAGAAAAACAAAAGACCTCGGGATAGCCATGAGATTGTCTGCTTCCCATCTTTGGTTTGGTGTCATCTTCTCATGCCCTGTACCCCTCGCTGTCCCATGTTCCCCAATGCCTTGTGTTGGAATGGCCATGTCTGGGTTTTTATTCCAACTGCAGATGGCGTCTTCAGCTGTTATCACACAGTTTACATGTTAGGTGGAAATTCTCCACCAACTCCTTGTCTCTAACCCTGGCTATCCCCATTCCTACCAGTCAGCATGCGTCATGACCATCAGATGCTGGAACTGAGAAGACTTACCCTTTGCGACACAGTTCACTGAGTGTATATGCGAGGAGCAATTTCTCTGGCTGAGCCCCTCTCCATTCTCCACTGGCACTCTGCTGCACTTCCAAGCTACATTACAGCAGAAGATAAGATGTTTGTAGCTCCTGATTTTTTAATGTTTCCCCTTGGGAAAGAAGCAACTTCCAAGGTAAATACTACCTGAAAAGGCCTTCTGAAGATGCTGCAGTAAAAAAAAAATCTGCCCTCCATCCACCAAATCATCCTGGACTGGTGGATTCTGTTCCAAGCCCATGTAAGTGACCCAAGTTCCAGATGACAATAGCCTGGCCTCTAGGAGTATTGAGTACACAGCCAAGTGAGCTGCCTCTGAGTCAGGGCTTGGATCCTGACTATTATCCTGTCTCTCATTTCTCCTCTCTTGGGCACATGCTGTCTCTTACCCTTTATAATATAAAGCTTATATTAGCTTTAACCAGTAGTTTGTTATGTAAAATGTTCCACATGACAGCTCAGCTTTGCCCTAATTCCCCCATTTCCTGCAACCTCTTAAAGATCTTTCTTAATGTCCTTGCTCTGTAATCCATTAATTTCTATTTTATGAGTCGAGACTTCCCTTGATATTTCTTTGCCACTAATCTTCCTTCCCCCTTCTTTCTTGGTCTTTTTTTTCCCCTTGTCTTGACATCCTCTTTATCAAGCTCTGCTCCATATTTGATCCAAACCTCTCTTGCTTTCATTGAGGTCCGTTGCTCAACATTTCATCCTCCTTGGAAATGAACAAAGCAAATGATCAGGATGGCCTTCCCAGAAACAAACCAAAAGCCAAGGAAAATTTTCTTCCTAAAGCCTGAGCTCAGGGTGAGACCCAGCTGAAAATGCCCACCTTACTTTCTCATACCTTTTTCCTTCCATTGCCTCCCATGAACTCCATGACCCTCTTTGTCCCTCTCTCCTGGTGCCAATAATGTGGATCGAATTTAATCAGGTTCTCCCTTCACCTCCCCTACTGTGCATTGAGCTCTGTGTAAACAGGCATCATGTCTTGTACTTTTTTCTCCTTGGGGCCAAACAGTTCCTGGCACATAGTAGGCTTGGCATAAACTTTGAATTATTAGATACTGTAAGCCACTCAGCTTTCTTTGTTTTAAATCAATAATCTTACAGTTACGAAGTAATAAGCTGATAAATGGAACTTCAGCAAAATTAAAAACTTCTGCTCTTTTTCTTAAGAAAATGAAAAAAAGGAAAACAAGGCACTCACTTGGAGGAAATATAGAACTTGTGTCCAAATATTTGAAGAACTTCCAAAAATCAATAATAAGAAAACAACCCAATAAAAAAAACTGAGCAAACTATTTGAATAGAGGCTTTACCAAAGAAGATGTATGGACGGAAAACAAATACATGAAAAGATGCTCATCATCATTAGTAACTAGGGAAATGCAAATTAAAACCATAATAAGATACTACTGTTTATTAGAGTGGGTAAAACTAAAACACTGTCGGTGACTATGGGAAAGAACCAGAGCCCTCACACACAGTGGTGGGTATATAAAATGGCACAATCACATTGGAAAACAGTTTGTAAATTTCTTGGAAAGCCAATCATACACACACCATATGACCCAGCCATTCAGTCTTCGGTATTCACCCAAGAGAAATTAAAACACATGTTTTTACAAAACTTGTAAACTAATGTTCATAGCAGCTTTATTAACTATAGCCCCAAACTGGGAAAAATCCAAATGTCAATCAACAGATGAATGGTATATCTTTACAATGATATATCTTCATAATGGCATACTACTCAGTAATAAAAAGGAATGAATAATTGATACACACCATGACCTGGATGAATCTTAAAATAATTATGAGGATTAAAATAAGCTAGACAAAAGTGTATATTCACTCAATGATCCATTTGTATACAATTCTAGGATATGCAAACTAATCTGTAGTCACAGTGCTTCAGTGGTTGAGGGGGCGGGGTTAGGAGGGCTATGGAAGAGCCAGAGGAAACTTTGGCGGGAGAGCAGTGGAAATATTCACTATCTTGATGGCTTTACAGTGTGTACGTTTGTCAAAATTTATCAAATTATTTACTCTAAATCTGTGTAGCTTACTGTGTGGCAATTTTACCCCCAAAAAAACTGTTTAAATAAAAAAAAAGGTAAGTAAATAAGTAAATGCTTTTGGTTACTGTCATGCATTCTTGAAATTTCATTTGTTTTTCTTGGAATCTTCTCTAGTCTATCCACATTTTTATCCATAAAATAAAGGTACTACTCACAGAGCTAGAGTCAAGGGGCAGATTCAGTCTTTTGTGAAACTAGTGGAAGGGTTTCTTGACTTTGCTATTAAAGAATGTGTCTGGGAAGACGTATTATTGTGGACATGTATCCCTCATGTTTTCCTCAACTGTCCTGTTTTAGCCACAGTTAGGAACAGGAAGGTGGAAGGGAGGGAGCCCCAAGGCTTATTTTGAGAGCCTAGGTGCTTGTAATAAATGCACGAATGATTCTGATAAACAGAGATCGCTATGAAGTCATAGCCTAGAACAAGTAAATTGCTGAAAACAAGGAGAGCCACCTCTATGACTTCTTGGCCCCATCTTGGGGCCAGGTAACAAAGATGAATGACCATCATCCAACTCTCTGGGTGCTGGGTGTGGCCGAGGGGTCAGCTCTAACACAGAATTGCAGAGGCACGTGTGAAGGAGATCGAGAAGGGACTCTCCTTTTGTAACACAACGGGCTGAGTGCTTACAGTGGGAGCATGAACACAGAGTGGAGGGAACCTGGGACAGGCAGGGATGGCAGTGAAGATGGCATCTGCTATGAGTGTTGACAGTGAGTAGGGTTGATAGGGAGGGGTTGCTTTCTGGGCAGAAGGAATAGCATGGCAGCAATGAACGGTGCAATGATGAACCCTGGCGAGCAAGGCAAGGTGGCTGGAGAGGGAAGGGGTTCAGGAGTGGGAAGGTCTTCCTATGCCTCTGTGCAGCCTCTGGGGGTGGGAGGTCCCTCCGCTGGTAAGTGGGAGGAGCCTGTCCCATGTGAAGCCCTGCCCATGAACCACACTGCGAGGACCACTCAAGGCTACCTGGAGGCTGCTTCTCTAGTCACTGGCATTTGACCGGGGGGGCCTTTGCCAACAAACAGTGACAGCAGACTCAGAAGATGGAAGGAAATCTATGTGGAAGGAGGAGTGTTTGTAAATGAAACAGTGTGACAAGTGCCAATAACTGAAGTCTGTTTGCAGGGACTTCTGTCCCAGCCATCCTCTCTGAGGTCTGGTGATGGGATTACATGTAAACATGTCTCCAGTCCTAGGGCTGCTGCTGACTCGTTTCATGAATTTGAATAAGCCAAGGAACTGCAGATCCTGCCTTCTCATAGGTGAAGTGGGAATTGTAGGGTAGTGAGGAGAAAAGAGAGACTCACAGTGGCTATAATTTGTAAGTTACTGGTGGTAGGGACTTTCCTCCCCACTCTGTCCCTTACCCCTGAACACACCTGGGCAGGCACAGTTTGTACTTCAGAGTGGATTATTTCTGATTCTACCTAAGCTGAGGTCGATACATGTCTGGTGAGTGACTTGCAGGAGGCCTTGCAAAGACAGCCCCAGCCAGTCATCAGATTGCAGTAAGCCAGACAGGGATCTGAATGGAGTTATGTTGCTAAAGGGCACATCAGTGTGGGCTAAAAGTCAAGGAAGACTTCCTGGAGGGGATGGGAATATAGCTGGGCCCTGAGAAGGGGTGGAGAATAGGGGAAAAGGGAAATGGAACAGGATCCATGAAAAGCAGGCAGGAGGTTGGCCCAGAAGGGTATGTGCCAAGCATGGGTCATCAACTGAATCAATGGATCAGTGAGTGAACAAATGAATGAAGCCTCCTTTGGAGGCCCTTGAAGACTTTACTGAGTTGAATAATGCCCCCCCCACAAAAACAATGCCCAGCTAGACTGTGTGAATGTAACCTTATTTGGAATAAAGGTTTTTGTAGATATAACTAAGGTAAGGATGAGATCATCCTGGATTATCCAGGTGGGCTCCAAATGCAATGACAATCCAATGTTCTCTTAAGAAAAAGAGGAGAGAAGACAAAACAATGGAGAGAAGGTCATGTGAGGATGGAGGCAGAGGTCAGGTGATGCAGCTGCAAGCTAAGGATGCCAAGGATGGCCAGCAACCTCAGAAGCCAGGAGAGAGGCCTGGAGCCTTCTCTCACAGAGCCTCCTGAAGGAGCCAGCCCTGCTAACACCTTGATTTTAGACTTATGGCCCCCAGAAGTGTACGAGAATACACTTCTGTTGTTTTAAGCCACACTGCTGTTGGTCATTCATTACAGCAGCTGCAGGAATCTCACACGAAGACCATGCCGTGCAGTTGAGATTTATCTTGCAGAAAGCAGGGAGCCATTGAAGGTGTTTGAGCTCCAAGCTGAGGGAGTTGTGTTCTGAGATTGTATGTGGAATGGACTGCTCCCAGGCTCTGAATGAGCCAAGAAAAGCTGGAGGCCAGATCAAGGGTACCTCTCAGAGCCATGAAGCCGTACTGATTACATGTCAAGCATGATCCCCTTCATCTGCTCCCTAGGCTCTGATCAGGGTGTGTTTTTTTTTTTCATGCCAAAACTGAAAATAGCACAAAAGTTACAGAGGCAGGCGTGAAGGAGATCTGGAATGGCATTTTCCTTTCCTTTTCCCCCAATCCCTGTATGGTTAAAATGGCATCCCCGCCTGCAGGCCCAGCTCTTAGGGAACAGGGGGAAGGAGGACCTGTGATCTGGCTAACTTAGGGGACCAGACCCTCTGAGATCCAGGCCCAGCAAGAGAGACATCCCCATCCCCATGGCCTTCTTGTCTACTTTGAGCTTCCTTTGGCTGTTTGAATGCCTTGTAAATGTGTCTGCATCTTCCCACTTCCCCATGCACTCATGGTTTCTTCTTCCCAGCACCCTCTCTCCACTGGCTTCTGTGTTGATATGGCCTCAGACCAATGCTGCTAGCAGGTAGATGGCCTAGGTGGCCCTGGTTACAGCAGTGTGGGTCTCTCTAAAAGAGCTTTGAGCTGGACTCCAGAGAGCACAGGTCAGTCAGATCCAATCAGACGGGCATAGGGAGGAGTGGGGGTGCTACATGGGCAAAGGAATTTCTATGTCCTTCCGGACGCTTATCTGATCATTCTTTCCTCCTCTGTTGCTCTAGGGTATGTGGATCATTAACAAAATACAGCAGCAATTCTCAACCAGGGGTGATTTTGCTCCCCCAGGGGATATTTATCAATGTCTAGAGACATTTTTAGATGTCACAACTTGAAGTTTGCTACTGGAGTCTAGTGCGTAGAGGCCAGAGATGCTGTTGAAGATCCTACAGTGCACAGGACGGCCCTCACAAGAATTTTTCAACCCAATATGTCAACAGTGCCAAGGTTGAGAAACCCATACACAGTAAGGCCTTATTGACCAGAAGTTGAGAAACAGCAGTTATAAAGACCATGCATGTGACTCCAGATAAGAGGTGAGATGTTTCTTCCCATGGACACACAGTTGTTGTGAAAAATATTACAGATAAGAGCCCTGAAGATTCACCAGAAATGACAGCTAAGAGCAGAAAATGTGGGATGATTATTTGTTAATACGACTGCGAAGGAGTTAACTATGGCCAGTGCTGTGGTCTGAATGTGTTACCCTTAAATTCATATGTTGAAACTTGATCACCAGTGTGATGGTATTAAGAGGTAGGGCCTTTAGGAAATGATTAAGTCATGAGGGCAGATCCTTCATGAATGGGATTAATGACCTCATAAAAGAGGTCTAGGGAGCTATCTGTCCCTTTGTCCTTCCATCCCTTCTGCCATGTGAGAACACAGCTGCATCCTCTTCAGAGGGTGCAGCCATAAGACACCCTCTTGGAAGCAGAGAGCAGCCTTCGCCAGACACTGAATCTGCTAGTGCCTTGATTTTGGACTTCCCAGCCTCTAGAACTGTGAGCAATACACTTCCGTTCTTTGTAAATTACTCAGTCTAAGGTGTTTTGTTATAGCAGCAGGAGTGGAACAAGACAGCCACTGTTTAAGAACAGAATGTCTTCTAGAAATAACTGATATGTGCACAGTACTTAATAGCTTTTATGGAGTGCTTTGTTACATCTGATCAAAAACATTGAAAACACTTTTTAACCAAAATAGCAACATCAACAACAAAACCCACAGGCTGTGGCATGTAAAAGTTTAGTTAAATTTTGCTGGAAAATAACTCAGACAAATGTTATATAAATATATTGCAGTTTTCTGCATTGTTAGGTGACAGAAATGACTGCATAAAATCATTTTGTTTACTTCAAAAACTTGTATTTATTGTGTTCTCTGGCAAGTAATGCAGGATATTAATGGGGATGCTGCATAATACATGCAAGAGAAAAAAAGGAAGAAACCCATCATTTACATATCTGGAGAGAAATGCTGCTACCATCTTGATGAATAAAATCAATACCTTTATTATACATGGCTATCAATTACACATATATCTTGTGATGCTTCAATATATACATATATGTATATATACATATATAAACATCTTCCCACCTAAGTATTCATATACAACACCACATCAGTTTTGATGGCTGAATGGCAGTGCTATACTTTGTAACCATTTTTATTGTAGTCAATGGTGTGGTGAACATCAGGTGTTGTCTTTAGATAATGTAAACTTGACAGACAGACTGCCATTTGAGAAAGGCTTTTGGTGGCATTTTTATTGTTGTTCTTGGCAAGAACATCCCAAGTCCGTCCTGCATTCTGTGTGCCCTGTCACTGGATAAGAGTCTTCCTGGGTGTGATGGTTAATTTTATGTGTCAACTTAGTTGGATCGAGATATGTGGTCACATATTATTCTGGATGTTCCTGTGAGGGTGTTTCGGATCATATTTACATTTAAACTGGTGGATTTTGAGTAAAACAGACCACCCTCCATAATGTGGGTGGGCCTTATCCAATCAGTTGAAGGCCTGGGTAGAATGGAAGACTGATCTCCAGGGAGAACTATACCAGCAGAGGCCTTGGTTCTTCCTCTACAACATTGCCTCTTCCTTCCTCCCCAGCAGACTGCCTGTGGACTCAAACTGTCAACCTTTCCTGAGTCTCCTGCCTACTGACCTCCCCGATCAGATTTTGGACTCAGAATCACATTAGCCAATTCCCTAAAATAAATCTGGTTCTATATACCCACACGTGCTATTGCTTCTCTTTTTCTGAAGTGCTCTGACTAATGCACTGGGTAAAGACCCCTCCTCTTTGTCTTGGCTCCCTTTATTGGGCTGTGGCTCTTAGGAAGAGCAGGTCTGCAAGGCTGGCCAGCCCCATATTCATGGCACTGTTCACAAAAGGATGGTTTTCTTGCTCAACGGTAGTCATGGGATCCTGGTGTCAACAAAGTCACTGGTGTGTGCTGAGACTTACCCCCACGCTGGTCATCTCACTTAAATTATGTCACTGACAGTGAGTGGACCATTCATTTTCCAGGTGGAGGGACAGGCTTAAGAAACAAATGGCATAAGAAAGATTGTGGGCAACAAAGCTGCCTTGTCCTGCTCCCTGTCTGATGATCTACATGCCACACCAGCCACCATGATGCATTTGGGTGATGCTATTGTCTCCTGAAACATCCACAGAGGGGAGTCCTGGGTATGGTGGGCCAGAAACCTTGCCACAGAGGACAGTGCAGATAGTTGAAGGGACTGGAGCTATTTGGCTTAAAGAAGACAGGTATAGAACAGTGGGTAATGTTTTCACCAATAGGCTCTTTACAGGATTGGGATTTGGTTTATGGGTTGCAGGAGGCAGATATGGGCGCAGTGGGTAGAAGCCATAGGAAGGAGATTTCACATCATGATAAGCTGTTTTGGGCAGGTCATGAGCTTCCTTTGATAGGAGGAATGTAAGAGAGACAGTTTGCAGAAAAAAAATCCAGCCTGAATTAGACAAGATTATCTTTCACTTCCTTTCCAGCCCTGGATTCTGTGACTTCACAGATATAGCCTGGGTACAGAAGAAGCTACCCCTCCCTGACCAAGTTGGATAATGAATAATTAAACAGCCACTATGGAAAGGAATGCAATTACCCAAGCTGTTGCTAAGGCAAGAGGGCCATCTTGGGCCAGGCAGTCACCGGGTTCCTGGTTCTAGGCCACTGGGACACGGGATGCCCACTTGCCCACAGGTGCTTCTGTAAACAAGGCTCCGCTTGGCTTGTGGGCCAAATGGCCTGTGCCTTATGATCCGTGGGCCTCCAGGCACCCAGAGTATGCACACATTTACAGTGCTGCCATGCTCCAGCCAAGTGGCCAAGTAATTGATGACAAGGCCCTGAATGTCAGGAATTAAACTGAGAAAACTTCTCCCTGAAACTGGTTTGAGCTCATTGCAGCTTAACTCTCAAGCGCCAGCAGGTCCTAAGAGGATCCTTCTCCATCAGTTCAGGGGCGAGAGGCTCTGAGACAAGGTATACAATTGACCTGAGAGGGCCCAGCCTGGCTCCCACTTCCCAGGGACTGGAGGGCTCCTACATAAATGGCTCAATCCCTGCTGCCTGCTTTGGAGATGATTTCCAACTGTTTCCCACTCCTAGGAACACTGGTAGATAAGAGTGGTTAGAAAGTGTAGACTTTTCTTTCTTCCAAATGCCTTGGACACCTGGGAATCTGAAATTTCAGGAGGGCAGAGGACTGGTGTAGTGACAGCATGTGTGAGAATGCCTTCGGTTTGTTGTCTGGGGCCAGCTCAGGATCGATGTGATTGATGTTCTGTGGCAGTCCAAAGAGCTCTCACTGCACGGGACATCAGCAGTGTCCAGGGAGAGGGCAGGGACAGCCCTTTGCTGTTCTGCTCTGATGGATGCACCTGTGCTATTTTGTTTTTCTCCGGGCTTGTGAAGCAGGAGAAAGATGGAGCCGACCCAGTTTGGTGGAGCTGCAGGAATGGCCCAGGGCTGAGCTTTGTAACAGGGGTGAGAGATGGCCAGCGACAAGGGGATGTTTAGCACTAACAGTAAATATATGGGAGAATGTGAGAGCACTTTTCACACCTCTGAACAGCTGTCAGGAAGAAAAGAGGAGTATTCAATTCTGTGTGGCCCTGGGGGCCAAAAAGCAGAAGTTAAGAGAGAGTGAGTTGACTTCTTATGAAGAAGTTCAGCAGTTATATTTCCAAATGTGCAGCTGCCTCAGGAAACAGTGAGCTCCTCACACTTGCAGGCATGCGAAGTGTGGCCAACAGACAGAATTACATGTTAGATTGGTGATGTGGGGGAGGTATTGCCAAGATCAACACTAAAGCTCATCTGGATGTGAGGGGCTGGATTATAAATACCTTTCTAGGTGTCCATTTCAGTGAGCTACTGCCACAAAAAGGCTGAGTAACAAACCATCAGATATTCTCAGCCATGTATGACAAAGAACTGATTTGGTTCATGTGTCTGCAGGTTGGCTGGGGCAGCTGGTCCAGGCTGGATTGGCTAAGAGTAGCTCTGTATCATATGATCCTCATCCTCCTCCTGGGACCAGTCAATAAGCCTGGGTTTATTTGTCTCATTGTGATGGCAGAGGAGCAAGAATGCAAGCAGAAGAGTGCACGGCCTCTGGTGACACCATCGCCTCTGCCCACTGCCCAAAGCAAGTCCCATGGCTGAACGCAAAGAGACAAGGAAGCCTGACCCACTCATGGACACAGGGAAGGGCAAAAAAATTAGGTCCAATACTGTGGTCTACCACATGGCTATTATGTCAGTTTTGTTGCACACACATCCACAAAATAGGTTTGCAAAGACAGGAGTAAGTGGGAAGCTTCCAAGCAAACAACATTGTTTCAAAAGCAGGCTCATAAAGAAACCAGTGCTCTCTGTAGAATGCATAAGTTTTGGTTGTGTTAATCTTTGCTGGGCACAGCATCAGCACTTTGGCTTTTATGCTGTACCTAAAAATTTATAACTTACCTGGGAAATGACTGAGGCATCATTCAGCCCAAATATTGTCTTATTTCACAGTCTGAAAATCCAGGGCCCAGAAAGGAGAAATGGCTTGCCCAAGCTTACCCTGCCTAGATCCAGCTCTCAACTCAATGTTCCTTCTCTTCCCCTGCAGTGCCAGAGGTCAGCTGGGCTTGCTACACCTCTGAGACAAAGTACAGGAACTAAAGGTGAATGGAAATCAAATGTAAATGAAGCTTAGGATGACTACATATTTGGTTGTTATGAGAATTTGAGAAGATGACAAATTTGTAATACCTGGCATATAGTAGCTATGCAATGCCCGATGGATAGTGCCAATATTAATCAATAAAGTACAGTGGCTGGTCAGAGGCAGGAAAGGTGGCATGGTAGGGGGAGCAGGAACTAACACTGGCTTTGGGAAGACTTTCTCCAGGAGCCAGGACAGGAGGGTATGGTTTGTAGGTGGCCTGTGGGGTCACGTGGCTTTCTCTGCCCTCTTTGAGACTGGCTCTGATTGTGTGCATTGGCTGGAAACAATGTGGTCCTAAACAAGATGAGGTAGATTTTGTCTGAGTGGAAGGACTGATGAGCTGAGTGCCAGTGCAGCCTGACCCAACAAGCAGGCGGTAGGAAGGGCCTTGCCCACAGCACCACTCACATTTGCTACCTCCCTAGAGAGGGCAGAATCCCCACCGGCCACATCCCAAGAAGTGGCTTCTGTGAAACTATTAGTTACATGTTTTCTAGGCCTTGCCAGTGATTCTCCAGCACATCTCATGTCCTGAGTGTTATGCAAGTTGGGGTGAGACTGTGGAGCGTGCCCTCAGGACACCCACAGTCTGCCAGGGCACAGAAAACTGCCCAGTCCTGAGGTCAAACCCATGGCTCCTGGGTTGCAAGGACACAGAAAAGCAATTTGTTTGTTCAATTTCACAATTTCCTAAGTTCTTTCAAAGCAGAGATCATGTTTTTTTCCCCAGCACCTAGCAGGGTGTCCAGCACACAAAAGCTCTCTATAAATGTTGGTCAAATGAATGGGCATTGGATTGGTCTGAGAGGTTACTAAAGTCTTTATGGAGGAGACGAAACGTGACCCGGGCTGTAATGGATGAGACTGAACTCCTCAATGGTCAATTACTTTGGATATATACATGCTTTCCCTGCACTCAGTGCTTCTGCCAAAACTACCATGCATGGACTTAGAGACAACCTTATTCTTTATCGTGGTATTCCACACAGTTGCTTCTGGTCAAGGAACTCATCTCACAGCGAGTGAAGTACAGACATGAGCACTCACTTGCAGAATTCACTGGTCTTGCCATGTTTCTGCCATTTTGAAGCAGCTGGCTTGATATTAGGTTGGTGCAAAAGTAATTGCGGTTATTGCCAAAAAGTAATTGAGGTTTTTGCCATTAAAAGTAATGGCAAAATTACTCTAAATCAGCATCCAATACATGGTGCTGTTTCTTCCATTGCCGAGATTCATGGGTCCAGGGATCAAGGAGTAGAAATGGGAGTACTAGGAAATGGGACTATAATGGGAGTAAGGGGTGCTACCCCAACTCCTTGATCTCCAGATCCTCTAAGAGATTCTCCTTGATCCTTAGTGATTCTCTAGCATAGTCTTTGCTTTCTATCTCTGCCCCTTTATACTCTGTTGACCTAGAAGTCTTAGTTCCAGAGGGAGAAATGCTTCCATCAGGAGTCATAACAATGATCCCATTGAACTGGAAGTTAAGATGGTCTCTCAGCTACCTTGGGCTCCTCATGCCTCTGAATCAACAGGCAGAAGGGGAGTTACAGGGCTGGCTGGGTGATGGGCCCTGACTGCCAAGGGGCAACTGGGTTGCTACCACACAGTAGGGGTTAGGAAGAGTATGTCTGGAACACAGGAGATCCCTTGGGACGTCTCTTAGTATTACCATGTCCTGGAATCAAAGTCAATGGAAAACTACGACACTCAATTCAGACAGGACTGCTAACAGCCCAGATCCTTCAGGAATAAATATTTGGGTCACTTCACCAGGCAAAGAACCATGACTAGCTGGGGTGCTTGCTGAGGACAAAGGAAATGGGTGATGGAAGAAGTTATAAAGAGCAGCTAAGATCATGTAACCGGTTGCAGAAGTGGGGACTATAATTATGAGTATTCTTCCTTATTTTGTCATAAATATATCTTTGTGTGTTTATATACATGTATTAATTAAATGATTTTGTTTTCTTCTCTCTTATCCTCTTATCATTACACGTATATATTAATAGTAGTTAGGTTTATGTCATAGTATTTAAGTTACAGGATATCACGAGAGAAGAGTGGGCATCACCCAAGTACATCACATTCTCTTCTGCAGAAGGGTTAGCACGTTTTCAGTTGTATGCAGGACAGTTGTGTTATGTTGGATGGGAGTATGACTTTGTTATTATCTTTACTGGGAGATTAAGCCTGGGTTCAGGATATGCGTTTAGATTCCAAGTTGACAAGGAGTATATTGTTTTATGTGATGGTCAGTTTTGTGTGCCAGCTTGGCTAGGTTACTGTCCTCAGTTATTCAATCAAATACTAATCTAGGTGCTGCTATGAAAGCCTTCGTAGATGTGATTAAAGTCCATAGTCAGTTGACTTTAAGTAAGGGAGATTATGCTAGGCAGTCTGGGTGGGCCTGGTTCAATCAGTTTAAAGACCTTAAGAAGAGAGCTAAGTCTTCCCAGAAGAAGAAGAAATTATGTCTCTGGCTAATCCAATTCTGGAGGTTGGCTAGACAACTCTAAAATCTGTAGTCCAGAGACAGAATTCCTGGATAGCCTGTCCTACAGATTTTAGAGTTGTCTAGCCAACCTCCAGAATTGGATTAGCCATTTCTTTGCAATAAATGTTTTAATATGTCTCTCCTACTGATTTTCTTTCTCTGGTTGAACCCTACTGATACAGAATACATGGAGCTCAGCCAGTGTAAGGTGCTGGGGAGAAAGGCATGAGATATTATGGAGTGGGTCACAGAGACCAAAAAATGCAGACAAATGAAGGACACTCTGTCCAGTTAGGCCAGGACAGTCAGTACCTAACAGTAGGTAATAGTTGGACAGAGCAGTGTAATGCTTTAGGATTAGAATGCCAGGCTGGGGGGTTAAAGCTCAATGTCGTGGGTGGTGGAAGCCATTAAAGCCTTTCACACTGGTATGGACTGATAAAAATCTAGACCTCAGAAAGATTCATCTGGCTCTTTAGCCATGATGGGCTGGAGCTGAGAAAAACTGAAAGCAGGGAGGAGCCCTTTCATTGGCTGTGTTCTAGAAGGAGCATTAAATGGCACATGCAGGAGTTTAACTGAGACTCACTCACAAGAAGCAACTTTGTGCATCTCTAATGAAGGGAGGTGGAGGCAAAGATGTAGGATGATGGCAGCACATTGACTCAAGAATGGAGATGGGACAATGTGGGGAGATTGAAACTTCACATGGTAGATTAGATGTTTGCTCTCAAGTCTTCCTCGCTTCTGTGTATAAGAACACATATCCATGCTCTTTGTCATGAGACTTCTGCAGTTCCTACTAGAGATGGAGTCTATTCCTCTGATCCATATCATTGGGATGACTTTATTTGACCAACAGAGTGTAGGTAGAAGTGATAACATGCTAGTTCTGAGCCAAGGCTTCAAAAGGCTTCAAATTTCCACTCATTATTGTGTGCTTCCTTGATTTGCAATAAGAGACTTCTAGGCTCTAGCTTGAGTTACAGATTGAACACATGTTAAGCCACTTGCATTCCAATCCTCATCCTGGAGCCAACCTCAGCCAACCAGCATTCCAAAGGAGGCCTGTCCAGCCAAGTCCAGCCTGGGTCACCCAATTCTCTGTTAATCTGCAGACCCATGAACATGAGGTTATATCCTTGCTATTGTAAGCCCCTGAGTTCCAGGGTGGTTTGTTACATAGCACTGTTGTGGCCATTACTGACTAATGCATCCTGTCCTTTGTATTAAGAGAGTGTGGCTGCCTCCACCAACATGGTGCATTCTCCCATAGTGATGGTGGTCTGTGATGACTCAAGAACTCCTGGATCCATGGGAAGAATCCATTCAGCTGTGGACCAGAGTTAGGGGTGAGGTTTGAGAAGCCGAAGGGGAGTAGAAAGAACACTGTACTGGGAATCAGGAGACCCAAGTTGCAGACTCAGACCTGCCATGAATACTCTAAGTGACCTTTGGCTGATAACTTTCCCTCTCTGGGCCTCCGTTCCATAACCTATGAAACATGGCAGTCACACTAAATGCCTCCTGGTTTAACTGCCTCCCCAGTTCAGATATTAGAAGCTCGAGTTTATTGAGTGACTATATTAGGTATTACAGTGTTTCACATCAGAATTCCTTTCCTATAGCTGATAAAAATGTTTAACCTCACTTTCAAACTCTCAAACATTGGTTGTGGTCATCCAGAGCTGCCTTGAGAAAGAGACCAAGTCTGTGTCCAAGCTTGGCAAGAACGAGTGGCGTGGTTGATGGCCCCAGGGGTTAGGGAGTGGGGGCCCTGTGATTTGGCCCCCTGAGGTAACTGCTGTCCACCGGGACAGGTGCGTGCAGTGTATGTGACTGTCATGCTTGTGGGTTGCCTGTTTAACAGCTATCCCTGTGTAGCTGAGGCAGATACCCTTGGCTGTTCCTGGCACTGAGAGCTTTCTGCCCAGTTTCAGCACACCTGACACCCAGGAGCAGATTCTCTGCTATCTTACAGTAATCACGAAAGCAAGAAAAATGTGGTTTCCTTGGACTTCTCAGAAGGTACCTGGGAAGCAGGCTGTGTGCATTGCTCACTTCAAGTCCCTTGCAGCTTCCCATGGAAGCCCTTGTAATATGATTACCACTCTGTTTCCCTGAGACCTACAGCTGTGATGGGTTGTGTGAGCACCCACAGTCCTCTCAAAGGCTCAGGAGAGCAGCACAGCCCTGTCCTGGAGACACTCAGTCCCAGCTCCAGATCTGCAGCTCCTTGTGTGGTCTTGGGAGGTAAGAGCCAGGAGGATGGACATGGGCTCTGGGGTCTGTTATGGCTGCTCCAAAATGTTCAGTTTCTGTGGAAAAGAAGTTCAGATAGTAGAAGTCTTAGAATTAGGGGCTGAGGCAAGCCTAGAGTCTTTGAGTTATGAGTGACAGAAAAGCTAAGCCAAACTGATTTAATAAAACCAAAAACATTTTGGTTCATATAGCTAAAAATAACAAGGATAGGATTTGGCTGCAGGTTTGGCTGGATCCAGGGTTCAGACACCACCACTTAATAGTAACACATCCAACACTCCCTTCATATCTTGACTGTTTTCCCAAGTAGTGGCTCTGCTCTCAGGTAAAATTCCTCCATATGGTGGCTGCTGGCAGGTCCAGAACTCCTTATCTTCTAAAACAAAGACCAGGAGGGAGAGACCTTTATATTTCTCCCTTTTTGTGTAGTAAAAGTTCCAGGGTGGTATTTTGTTGGATTGTGTAGGTCCTCTGTCCATCCTAAACCAATCACTGTGACCAGGAATGAGACTCAATCCCTAAGCCAGGGTTGACCCATTTCATTGCTAAACACGTGGACAGAGAATGGGAAAAGGGTTATGAAAAAACAAGGGCATGGCTGCTGGAAAGATAACAACTGCAGATATCCATGCCACGAGACAAGGTCTGTGTTTCTTAGCTGACAGCTGACCCAGCCAGGAGACATTCCTGAGGCTAGGAAAAGCAACAAACAAAAAACACCCAGTCACTCATTATCTGGTGCAAAAACACCAGCCAACATGTATCTGGGTGTTTCCTATGTGTTCAGCACAGTCCTAGGTAACTTTTAGAATTAAAAAAAGAAAAGTGGCAAATTGCAACACCCCAGTCTTTAGGGACATGCAATGTAGCTGAGGAGAGAAAAATGAATACCAAACAGTGAATGAAATTGACTGATTGAGGTCGAAAGTGTTTGGGTCACACCAGTGCTCTGGAAAATGTGGAACTGAGAAATAGAGGGGATTATTGTACCTGAACAGTGAAGACAAGAGCCCCAGTGGAGAGACTGGGTTTGAATGGACACAAGGAGAAAGGTAGAGTTCCGGGCATGGGGCTGGAGGCTGGGAGGTGTCAGGATGACTCACTCAGGGGAATCTGGATGCAAAGGGAGCAGGCTAAGCAGATGGGGAAAAGGCAGGGCAGCCAGCATAGGGCCAGAGTCTGAAGAACCCAGACAGACTCCAAGTAAATTAGATTTACTCTGGCAGCAGCAGGGAGCCATGAATGGCTTCAGAGCAGGTGCAGGACACAGCTCTCACCACCAGCTCTGCAAGTTGGCCTGGCACAGCTCAACTTGTGTCCCCAAGGACTCAAGAGTGCCCACATTAAAAGTGTGCATGTTAAAATATCAGATAAAAGGGATAAATACAACGTATATTGCATGATCCCAATTTGGTGGAAAAACATACATGAAGGCGTGACGCTGCCAACCAGTGCACAGTGAGTACTTGTATTTACTGAACACTCCTGGCGCTCACTGCAGAGCACCCTCAGTTAATTAGTTCTCGCCCTATGACTGAGTATTATCTTCCCTATTCACAGCTCCAGGACTAAGTTTTATATGGTACAGGTGAATGGCAGAGGTGGGGTGTGACTCCAGGTGTGTCCAAATCCACGGTAGCCCCTGTGCTGAAATGTTAACCATGATTACGACTCTATGGGTGGATTACAAGAGGTTTCCATTTTCCATTTAAAACTTTTCAGCCAGGCGCGGTGGCTCACGCCTGTAATCCCAGCTCTTTGGGAGGCCGAGGCAGGCAGATCATGCGGTCAGGAGTTCCAGGCCAGCCTGGCCAACGTGGTGAAACCCCGTCTCTACTAAAAATAGAAAAAATTATCCGGGCATGGTGGTGCGCACCTGTAATCCCAGCTACTTGAGAGGCTGAGGCAGGCGAATCGCTTGAACCTAGGAGGCAGAGGTTGCGGTGAGCAGAGATCACACCATTGCAACTCCAGCCTGGGTGACAGAGCAAGACTTAGTCTCAAAAAAAAAAAAAAAAACTTTTCAATAGCTTGAAAATCATCTACTGTGAATATATGTCACTTTTGCCAGTATAAAACAAATATATGTTTAAAAAAAATTCCTCTAGCCTCCGTGCTGTGGGACCTTAGGCTTCCAGAGAAATTACCTATCACAACTAGCATTTAATTCCCCCAGCACTTTCTTTGTAACAAAGCTAGCTCACAAAATGGTAGAAAGAGGCTTTACTCTCAGACTTGCAGTCACTAAGATTGTCACAGCATGTATGCCATTTTTTGCCATTTCCTTTCATTGTAAAATTAATTTTAATTGCATAAATAAAATCAAGATAACTGCTCCTTACAAAATATTATAGATAAGACTAAAGTATTATTTGACCACTGCTCCTCCCATCCAATGGTCACCTGGGAGACAACTAGAAGTATTGATTGGGGTGTGTCCTTCTAGACATTTTCCTAGTATTTACATATATAAATATGTATCCAGAAAAAAAAATACAGACCTATTGCAAGTGTGCTTAACACGATTGCATTTTATTTTATGTATCATTCTGCAACTTGCTTTTTTCATTCACCAGGATGCTACACCCTGTCCTGTGAAGCTATGAAGAACCAAGAAATGTCACGCAAACATTACACACAGGGTGGTTTCCAGGAAGGAGAAGGCCCTCCAACCAAGCACTGTCTGGCCATGCCTGAGCTTTTGTGCAGCCTCTTCAGGCTGGAACAGTGTCTGCGCCAGGCCCAGACATGGTGTGCACTCAGCAGGTGGAAGTTGTTATCCCTGGCCACCATCAGGGAGCTGAAGTCTTTAGTGACTTGAGGAGGGAGTCATGGACACCTGCGTGAAGACCACAGCTCCATCACTTCTTCTCAAACAAGCTCAGTTTGGTATAGAAACATATAAATGGAGCTGAAGAGAGGCCCTTCAATATTCGCTTCATCCAGGGAGTCAGGAGACATACGAGTGGAAGTGAGGTGGCGGGTACCAGCAGATTTGGCCTTTTCTGAAAGAACTGTGCAGGCATGGGAAAGAGTCCTAGCAGATGCAATAATAAATTAATAAAGAGGAGGAAATGGGACCGCATTTAATTTATTTCATTGCATAAGCATGGGGGTCTCCCATGAATCAGATGAATCAGAGAATTGCAGGGGGAGCTCCAAGGGGACAGACACTAACTTCTCATGAGTCCAGGTGGGCAGGGATGTCAACTGGACTTCATCTGATGTAGAAAAAGATACAGATGAATCATCTTGTGTTCTCAGTGTCATGGTCGCTTTCACAATCCCTTTTCATGGTCTCTGGAAAAGAGGCTGCAACAGCCAAAGGATAGAAGGAGAACCCATGGAGGTGAAGCCTGGGCAGAGGGAGGCCCAGAGCTGCCTCCCAAGCTGAGGCAAGAAGAGGCCCAGGGACTTCATGGAAGAAGGCCCCCTCCCTGAGACGCAGGTCCTGCACTTGCATGACCCCCAGAGTGAATGTTGATTTAATGTTTGCACCCTCAGATGGGACCTCCCTTGCACCATCCAAGTCCTTGGACAGAACCCACTCATGACAGGAAGTATGATCAAGTGCAGAAGGGGCTGGCCTAGGGCTCAAACACATCCAGGTTCAATTATCAACTCTGATTCCTCACAGCTGTGTGGTGCTGTAAGCCTCAGTCTTCTCTGAGCCTCAGTTTTCTCTCAGGTAAGTGAGGAATCATAACACCCACGTCACACTCAGTGCACAGGTGCCAAAGAGCCTAATGAAAATGCTCAAAGAATGTTGGTTTCCCTTTTCTTGAAGTCTTTATCCGCACTGATTAGTAACAAGAGGTTCCTGATAGCCCCAGCCCCACACCTGGATTCCTGAGCGGGACCCAGGCTCACAGAGCCCTGCACCATCCTCAGTATCCCCTAGCCTACTGTTCCAGGCCTAGCCGGCCCACCTTCCATCTCATGCCAAAGGGTTAGCTAGCAGGAGATGAGAGAAACTTCTCAAAGGGAGGAAACCTCTCTCTTCTGAGCAGCCTTTTCCTGCTAAATCCGTCCCCACCCTGTTGGGCTGGACACAGTTATTTACTGGGAGATTGCTTTGAGCACATCTGGAGGGATCACTTAGGGTGATGTTGTTTGTTTGTGAGGCTGATACTGTTACTGAGCAATGGGTCCTCCAGGAGCCTGGGTGCTTCCCTGAGCTGCTTGCTCGGGGCCCAACTCTCACATGAGGGGGCACACATCATTCAAATGCACACACTTGCCCCTCTGCGGGCCATGCACTGGGCTTCCAGAATAATTGCTTATACCCAGTCACTTCGCCCAAATGTTTATACAGCTGGGGAGGATGAGAGTGTTGGCGAATAAGATCAGAAACCACAGTTATTGTGAGAATCACTTGGGGAAATAGATGAGAAAGTCTCTTTAAAAAGCCAAATGCTGAGAATGCGGGGTGTGTTGAAGCCGCTCACCCCACCCCAGCCTCTAGTCAGAGAGGCCCTTGGTCTGGGAGACACCTTTTCCCAAACCCATGCCTGACTCCACCCCACCAAGAATGGGCCGCCCCTGTTTGTGCTCCCCACGTCCTCCCTCACTCCTGCCATCTGTGTCACAGTCTGCTGCCAGCTTTTCTTTCTGAACTACCGCCCCTGATAGAGCTCAAACCCCACTAGGGCCCACGGGCCTGTGTCTGATTCATTTCCCTACTCTGGGTGTTAAACATGTGGCCTAAAACTGAGTGAATTCAGTAATTGTTGATTTTTTTAAAAATAGGTAATTTTTTTAAAATAAAAGAGAAAGAGTCCCAACTGAAATACTGGAATAGAATGTCGGGCACTCCCAGTATAGCCCAGCTGGCTTTGTGCTAGCATCACTGGGGCAACTAGAAGCCTGGGAAGGCTCACAGGGTCCCTGTGGGCTTGGTCTTTGGCTTCTGTGAAAGTGGTTCAGTTCCCCCACCATCCATCCACCCAGCCTACGGCTACTACTCTTTTTCCATCTGTGTACTTCTAGTTTCCAAACACTGGTCTTTCCTTGGCCTTTAAACAAACACCCCCTCTCACAAGGCCCATGTGCATGTAGCCCACTCTGCTAATGTGTTTGGGGTGCAAGATGTGCCAACAGCCTCAGATACTGGAGAGACATCTTTGCCGCTGGCATTTCCCCATCGCTAACCTCTTTGGGGTGCAAGGTGTGTCGACAGCCTCAGATACAGGGAAGATGCTCCTTGCTGGTGGGGCATGCCCTGTTGCTAACGTCTTTAGAATGCAAGGCTTGTCGACAGCCTCAGATACCGGGGAGCCGTTCACCCCACCCCAGCCTCTAGTGCTGGTGGCATTTGCCCAGCTCAGCCTAGGGTCCCTGCTCCTCCTCTCTTCTGCCTCAAAGTCTCCACCTGCATGTTCCCCCACATCACCTGCACTCACCTTCCTGATAGTCCTCCTCCTGTAAACTAAAAAGCCTTCTTTAGGGGCTAGAAAATTATACTATCTTTCTCAGAAACATAAAAAAAAAAAAAAATTAAATCCCCTGGGGAGAAGTTCTTCAGTTTTAAGAAACACTGCACCGTTTCCTCCTTGGTGAAGGCAGAGAAAGGGAAGAATGTTTCCAGCACTTTCCGGCACATCTGTAGCCATCACCACGAAAAAAGAGACACTAAGTACGTTTTCCAGTCAGTTGCTCCGCACGAAATTTTCAATCCACCCTCTTCACGCTACTGTCCATCGGAGCCACGCCAAGCTGTGGAAGTTGGACTTTGGATAGTGGTCAGCTGGGGAACGGCCCAGGTCTCACCTTATTGGGCCAGGGATTCCAGACTCAATGTGTCACATAATGACAATCCTTTCAGATGGGCACCCATCGTCAAAACTTTTAGTAGAACTTTCTAGGCTTATCATTCTAAAATATTTGTGTTATGATAATGGCTCTCTTGGCTAAAACTTGAGTAAGTGTGATTTCTTGGGAAGAAGTGGAGAAAAAGTAGCCGAGTATATCTGGTGGCACCAACAGAAACTGCAGCTACACTGAGTCTGGTTAGCTCATAAGAAAAGGGAGTGCATGTCTCCTATCCTGGACATGTGGGAAGTCAGTCAGCTGTACTACTCCTGCTCCTGGGCCCGATGACAGAGCAGGTGGCTCTCCCTGGGCCAGAAGAAGCTGTCCTGCAATTCTACCTGGGTGGCAGGCCCCCTCAGTTGGCTTGTGTGGTCTCCTGCAGGGTGGGTGAGATTGGGGTGCACTCTGGCCCTCTTCCTCATACCATGTATGTCAAGGAGAAGGAAACTGGGAAGTAAGTACATGCGTTTAACTTGAACCTTGGGTGTGACTGCTTTTTATTTTTGGCTCAGCCCAAAGAGAAAGAACCAGAGAAAATAGTGTAGCCACGTTTCGAACTTGGTGACAGCACAACACTTGGCCAACAGTTGAAAGCTGCAGGGGTGCAGGTGCTGAAAGAGGGCCTGGCAGAGCCAGGCCAGGCCAGCAAGCAGAAGGCAGGAGGGGCAGGAGGGTCCGCGGCACTCAGAGCCAGGGAGAGCAGAGGCGGAGGCAGAGGAAGGGGAAGCGGGGGAGAAAGGCCTGGCTTCTGCATGGCTTCTGTGGGTTCTGTAGAAAGTGCAGATCCTGTCCCCAGGGCTTCACCTCTAATGGAGAGAAAGAGCCCATGGACAGATAGTGAGGCCAGGACCCCATGCCGTAGTGGACAGAAAACAGGTCGGACATCAGGGCACTGGTCTCTGCTCCTTGGCTGATGCATCCTGGAGTCTTGGGAGAGTCTCCTCGCTTCTCTCAGCCTCAGTTTCTCCATCTCTATGTACTCTTAGTGACCTTTAGGGGTCCTTCTTGCTGCCTCAGACTGTAGTTCTGGAAAGGAAGGAAGTCAGAGTGGGAAAGCGAGTTAAGAGAGGGAAGTGGGGAGACTCGCATGGCCACACAGAGCCTCCTTCTCTGACCTCAGTGTGAGTTTGGCAGCCAACAGGGAAGGCCCCTGCGTGGGTCCCATCACCCAGTGTTCCAACAGAGCCCTGAGTTCACAGAGCTGGGAATGCCAGAGATGAGTGGTCAGACAGAAGTATGAGGAGCAGTCTGGCAGACAGACGGCCCTCACAGGTGAGCAACTCAAGAAAAGACGGCCATTCCCAGCAGCCCCAGCTCCAGGCTTCCACTGAGAGACCTCAAGCCTGGCTGATCACTTGGGGAAAGGGGTCCTCTGCCTGTTCTTGGCTCACCTGTATGCAACAGTCCCTTTCTAGGGAACCATTAGGGAATTCAACACCCCCATCTCCTCAGCAGAGGAGCTCACAGCCTGCAGAGCCATGAGGATTGGAGCCAGGGTCCTCCATGAGGGCCAGGTCAGCCTCCCATCCCACATCCAGCCTACAGAGGTGGAGCCAGCCCACATCCTAATGGGGCTGGAGGACGCAGGCCTGCTGAAAGCAGGAAACAACAAACCCATTGCAAAGAAGAGCCCACATCTGCTCCTTTGGCGCAAGAAGCTCAGCCTTCTAACAGGGTCCCCTCCTCAGCAATGTCCCAGGTTAGCAATGAGGGCATGGCATGTGGATGTGTCACAGGGGCACTGGGGACATTGTCTTGTTGGTTAAGATGTTGTCTTCCTCTCCCTTCAACCTGAAATGCATGTCTCCTTTTTTCAAATAATTATGTCCTATTTACCCTTTAGATCGATCATGCTGTACCTCCTCCAAGAAACCTCCCCAGGCTACACTAGTTCACACAAGTGTCTCTGGCATTTATCAGACTCCTGTTATAAAATCTTGCACTTAAC